>NC_000012.12:70944976-71096491 GCF_000001405.40 Homo sapiens | reverse complement strand
AAGGAAAGATAAAACAGAAATCAATGAAAATGATTATCTATAAAGGAAGCATGAAAATGAAGTGGTGGGATAAGAATGAGAGTGAGAGTTCCTGGAATATATTCCCACAAAAGTATGTTCTGTTGACTTTTTTATATGGTTTTAAATTAAGTGCTTCACATATGCAGAATTAAATGTAAAATAAACCAAAGTGAACACCAAAATTTAACACAAATAGAAACAAAGGACTCAAATGCACACCTTCTCCTCAACTTACGGTGGGGTTATAGACAGATAAACCCATTGTGAATTGAAATTATCCCAAATTGAAAGTGGATTTTTGACATGATATTTTCAACTGAGGATGAGCTTACTCAGATGTAACCCTATTCTAAGTTAGGAAGTGTACTAAATGCATATTGCTTTTGCATCTCATAAAGTTGAAAAGTAGTAAATCAAACCATCATAAGTTGGGGAGCATTTATATATAAAATTGATAACATCACCAAAGATTAATTTTAAGTAACTTTTGAAATTGTACATAGTTTAATACATTCTGAGGACAAACAACAACAATAAAACTTTTAAAGAAATACCTCACTAAGTAATTTTACCCCTAGTAGTACTATTAGTATTGGCATTTTGAAACTTTATTATCTATATTGTTATGATAAGCAAATAAATAACTATATTACTACTACTCGGAGCGAAGATTTTTTAGTATAAAAGAAAAAATGATACAAACACAAGGCAAAATAAGTTTAAAAAATCTGTAATAATAATTTGAATTGGCAATATCAACATAAAATTATACTGTACTAAGAAAACATGTATTTCCTACCTCCGTTCACTACAAGGGCTTAAAAAATAATAGGAGCAATGAAACTCCAGTAACAATGACCATGCTGAGCTACCAGACCTTTGTTTCTAAATGCCCATACCATAGGCAGGCAATCAAACCTATTATGACTAGACTGGGACTGCTATGGTCTGAATTTTTGTGTTCCACAAAATTCACATGTTGAAATCTTATCTCCTAAGGTGATGGTATTAGAAGGTGAGGTCTTTGGGGAGGTCATGAAGGCAGAGTCCTCATGAGTGGGATTAGTCGTGTTATAAAATAGGCCCAAGGGAGCGTTATTTGCCCCTTCCACCATGTGAGGACACAGCAAGAAGGCATCATCTATGACCAAGGGAGTGGGCTCTCATCGGACAGTGAATCTGATGGCATCTTGATCTGAATTTCCCAGCCTTCAGACTGTGAGAAATAAATTTCTTTTGTTTATAAGCCACCTAGGTTATGGCATTTTGCTATCGCAACCTAAATAAACTAGTGCAGGAACTAATGACGCTATGTGCCCCTTCATGCAATATAAAGTAAAATAGACAAAATCCATCTACTAAGCATGTTTGCCAAAATTATTTAATCTGAATCTCATTATGCCTGTACATGTAACTTCCAGTTTACAAAATATTTTATGAGTAGGGGTATAGGTTAAATGACACCATGGTGGGAACAGGAATTAGACAAAAACAGAATGTGGTACTACGTGACCATTCTGCTCTACTGGCAGCAATACTCTAACATTTAGATGAACAATCAGACACACAATACTCAACAGGCTTCATCCAGCACCAAATTTACTTAGCCTTAAAAAAAGAGTCAGGACAGAAAAGCAAATTATATGCACATCAACAATATAGTGAAGCTGTTGTTATTTCCAAGGGGCAGCTCTGCATTTGGGTCTCGTGGGGTCACCAGAGATGAGGCTGAGCTGGGTCACATGAGCCTCAGCTCTAGGAAACCATCAGCTCTAGCTTTCATATATAGCTGATGGTGTCCTGTCTCAGGAATACATGATTAGCATCCATTCTCCAGTGTGGTCATGTCATTTCAATATTGATTTCTTGTTACTTGATTATCCAGAAAATGAATTACATCATATATGTATACATTGTATACACAGTTCTTTCTTGAATTCTCATTTATTTGAATCTGGTATTGGTAACCTCCTAACAATTTTCTGAAAGAAAGATATCATCAAGAGTCAAATCCTCCATATGTCCTTGAGGCTAAAATAAAAACATAGAACCGGCTGTTAAACTTTTCCATTTAGGGACATTCTACTATAAAACTGGTCTGAACTTTTTGGAAGGCCATGAAGAAAGAAAACATAGAGAAGCCTGTTTAAGATTTTTGAAGACTACCAAAAAAAAAAAAAAAAAAAAAAAAAGAAATCCCTCAGTGTAATACATGGACTCTGTATCCTGATTCAACTAAAGTAACTATAAACCCTCCCCCTTCTTTTTTTGGGACAGTTGAGGAAATTTGGATATTGAATATACTAGATGAAATTAGATAGATGTATAAGGATCAGGTAATATTTTGGAACTATTGTTAATTTTCATCTAGGAAAAGGTATAAGCATGTTTGTTGCAGCATTTCAATTTTTCTGTGAGATGTTGAACATTTCAGCAATAGAAACCTGGGAAAATGTATTTAAAGAATAATAATACCAGTTTATAGTTGAATAAAATATGAAGGTGGGAGGAGATGGAGCAAGATGGTAAAATAGAAGGCTCCACTAAACTTTCCACCCACATGGACATCAATTTAACAACTATCAACACAAAAATGTACCTCTATAAGAACCAAAATTCAAATGAACCCTCACAGTACCTGGCTTTAACCTCAAATTTCAGAAAGAGGCACTGAAGAAGTAGAAAAAAACAATCTTGATTCACCAACACCACACCCCTCTCCTACCCCATGTAGGGAGCATTTAAACCAGCCCTAGCCGGAGGAGAATCTCTGATCCCAGCATTCCCACAAGCTTCACCACTACGGCCACCACAGGCTAAAGGGCTCTGAGACACTAAATAAACTTGAAAGGCAGTTTAAGACACAAGGATGGCAACTCCTAGGAGAGTCTTAGTGTCGAAATAAGCCCAGAGACAGTGGACTTGAGAAGAAGGCATGCATCCTACTGAGACACGAGCCAGGGTGGCTAAGGGAGTGCCAGCATTACCCCCCCACCCAACCCCAGATTGCATACTCGTTGCTTCAAAAGAAATATTTTCCTTCTGTTTGAGGGGAGAAGAGGAAAGACTGTCTTGCAACTTGGATACCAGCTTAGCCACAGCATGATAGGGTACCAGTCAGAGTCATGAGGCTCCCGTTCCAGGCCCTAGCTCCCAGAAGACATTTCTAGATGCACTCTGGACCAGAAGCAAATTCGCTACCCTGAAGGAAAGGACCCAGTCCTGGTGACATTCATCATCTGCTAAATGAAGAGCCCTTGGGTCCTGATAACCAGTGATACTTAGGTACTATGTTGAGGGCTTTGGGTGAGCCTCTGAGGATTGCTGGCTTCAGGTGAGACTCAGCACATTCCCAGCTGTGGTGGCTATAGAGTGAGACTCCTTCTGCTTGAGAAAAGCAGAGTAAAAAGTAAAGAGGACTTTGTCTTGCACCTCCAGTACCCACTCGGCCACAGGGGAATAGAGCAACAAGCAGACTCTTGGAGTCCCTGATTCCAGGACTTGGCTCTTGGATGGCATTTCTGGACCTTTCCTGGCCAGAGGAGAGCCCACCACCCTGAAAGGTGAATCCCAGGCAAGGCAGCATTTACCACAAGCTGACTGAAGAGCCCTTAGGCCTTAATGGAATATCAACAGTAGTCTGGCAGTACTCCTCATGGGCCTGTGGTGGTAGTGGCCATTGGGTGAGGCTCCTCTGCTTTTGTAAAGGAGAGAAAAGAGAGAAACAATTTCATCCTGTAATTTGAGTGTCAGCTCAGCCATAGTACAATAGAACACCAAGTAGACTTGTAAGGATTTTTACTGTAGTCCCTGATTTCCAGACGGTACCCCTGGACCTGCCCAGGGCCTGGGGAAACTCACCACCCTGAAGTGGAGGACACAGGCCTAGCTGGCTTTGCTGCCCATTGATTGTAGAGCCCCAGGGCCTTGAACAAAAAGGCAGTAGCCAGGGAGTGGTTACAGCAGGCCCTTCATGAGACCCAGTGCTGTTCGTGCTTCAGGTCTGACTCAGCACAGTCACAGTGGTGGTAACCACAGGGGTGCTTGTGTCACTCCATCCCCAACTTCAAATGGCTCAGAACAGAGAAACACTGTGTGCATGGGAGAAGGTAAGGGAAGAAAACAAGAGTGTCTGCCTGATAATCTAGAGAATCCTCTTGGGCCTTTTCCAAGACCATCAAGGTGGTACCTCTATGAGTATGTAACAACTACAGTGTTATTGGGCCTAGGGGGTCTCCTAAAGCAGATAAAGATTGAATCACAACACCAAGTCCTTTAGAGTATCTGGAAAGCCTTCCCAAGAAGAATGAGTACAAACAAGCCCAGACTACAAAGACTATAATAAATACCTAACTCTTCAATGCCCATATATAGACAAACATCTACAAGTATCAAGACAATCCAGGAAAACAGGACCTTACCAAATAAACTAAATAAGGCACCAAGGACCAATCCTGGTGAAACAGAAATATGTGACCTTTCAGGCAGAAAATTCAAAATTGCTGCTTTGAGCAAATCCAAAGAAATTCAAGGTAACACAGAGAAGGAATTCAGAAGTCTATCCAGTAAGTTTAAGAAAGAGATCAAAATAATTAAGAAGAATCAAGCAGAAATTCTGGAGCTGAAAAATACAATTGGCATACTGAAGAATGCATCAGAGTTTCTTAATAGTAGAATTGGTCAAGCAGAAGAAAGAATTTGGGAGTTTGAAGACAGTATTTGAAAACACACAGTCAGAGGAGACAAAAGAAAAAAGAATAAAAAACACCGAAGCATGCCTGCAGAATCTAGAAAATAGCCTCAAAGGGGCAAATCTGAGTTTGTTGGCCTTAAAGAGGAGGTAGACAGAAAGAGACCAGGGTAGAAAATTAATTCAAAGGGATGACATCAGAGAAGTAACCAATAGAGAAAGATATCAACATTTGAGTACAAGAAGATTATAGACCATCAAGCAGATTTAACCCAAAGAAGTCTACCTCAAGGCATTTAATAAACTCTGAAAGGTCAAGGATAAAGAAAGGATTCTAAAAGCAGCAAGATACAAGAAACAAATAATGTGCAATAGACCTCATATGTCTGGCAGCATACTTTTCAGTAGAAACATTACAGGCCAGGAAAGAATGGCATGACATATTTAAAATGCTGAATAATAATAATAATAAACCTTTATACCCTAGAATAGTATATTCAGCGAAAATATCCTTCAAGCATGAAGAAGAAATACAGGCCTTTTTAGACAAAGAAAAGCTGAGGGATTTCATCAACACCAAACCTGTCCTGCAAGAAATGCTAAAGGGAGTACTTCAATCAGAAATAATAGAATGTTCAAAGCAATGAGTAATCACTGGAAGGCAGAAAACTCACTGGAAATAGTAAGTGCACAGAATATTATAACTATGACTGGTGTGTAAACTACTCTTAAGTAGAAAGACTAAATGATGAACCCATGAAAAATAATAACTACAACAAATTTTCAAGACATAGACAGTACAGTAAGATATAAATAGAAACAACAAAAAGTTAAAAAGCAGGAGGATGAAGTTAAGGTGTAGAGTTTTTATTAGTTTTCTTTTTGCTGGTTTGTTTGTTTATGCAAATCATGTTAAGTTGTTATCAGCTTAAAGTAATGGGTTATAAGATGGCATTTGAAGCCTCATGGTAACCTTAAAGCAAAAAATGTACAATAAATACACAAAAATTAAAAAGGAAGAAGTTAAATCATATCATCAGAAAAAACCACTTTCATTAAAATGAAGATGAAAAAGAAAGAAAGAAGAGAGGACCATGAAACAACCAGAAAACAAACACAAAATGGTCAGAGTAAGTTCTTATGTATAACATTGAATGTAAATAGACTAAACTCTCTGATCAAAAGACATAGAGTGGTTGAATGGATGAAAAAATAAGACCCATTGATCTGTTGCCTGCAAGAAACACACTTCACCTATAATGACACACGTAGACTGAAAATGAAGGGATGGAAAAAAAATATTCCATGCAAATGGGACCCAAAAAAAAAAAAGCAAAAATAGCTATACTTTTATCAGGCAGAATAGATTTCAAGACAAAAACTATACGAAGAGACAAAGAAGGTCACTATATAATGATAAACGGATAAATTCAGCAAGAGGATATATCAATTTTAAACATGTATGCACCCAAAACTGGAGTACCCAGATATATAAAGCAAATATTATTAGAAATAAAGAAGACAGAGACAGATTCCAATACAATAGTTGCTGGAAACTTCAACACCCCACTTTCAGCATTGGACAGATCTTCCAGACAGAAAATAAACAAAGAAACATCAGACTTAGTTTGCACTAAAGACCAGATAGATCTAAGAAATATTTAAAGAACATTTCACCCAACAGCTGCAGAATACACATTTTTCCCTCAGCACATGGATTATTCTCAAAGGTGAACCTTATGTTATGTGACAAAGCAAGCCTTAAAACATTCAAAAAAATTAAAATAATATTAAGCATCTTCTCTGAACACAATAAAATAAAACTGGAAATCAGTTACAAGAGAAATTTTGGAAACTATACAAATACATGGAAATTAAGCAATTATGCTCCTGAATGACTGATGGACCAGAGAAAAAATTAAGAAAACTGAAAAATTTCTTGAAACAAATAATATTGGAAACACAACATAGCAAAACCTACATGATACAGCAAAAGCAGTATAAATAGAGAAGTTGATAGCTATAAGTGCCTATGTCAAAAAAGAGAAAAATTTAAAATACACAATCTAACAATGCATCTTAAAGAACTAGAAAGCCAAGAGCAAACCAAACTCAAAATTATTAGAAGAAAAGAAATAATAAAGATTAGAGCAGAAATAAATGAATTTGAAATGAAGAAAACAATACAAATAATCAACGAAACAAAAGTTGGTTTTTTGAAAAGTTAAATAAATTCAATAAAACTTTAGCCAGACTAATGAAAAAAAAAGAGAAACCAAAATGAATAAAATCAGTGATGAAAAAGGAGACATTACATATGACACCACACAAATTCAAAGGATCATTAATGGCTATTATAAGCATCTATATGCCAATAAATTGGAAAACTTAGAAGAACTGGGGAAATTCCTAGAAACATGCAACCTACTAAGATTGAACTGTGAAGAAATCCATAACCTGAACAGACTCACATTATAAGTGAAAAGATAGAAGCCATAATAAAAAATCTTCCAGTAAAGAAAAGACTGGGACCTGATGGCTTTACTGCTGAAATCTACCAGACTTTTAAAGAAGAACTAATACCAATCCTACTCATGCTATTATGATAAACAGAGGAAGGAATATTTCCAAATTCATTCTATAAGGCCGGTATTACCCTGATACCAAAATTAGATGAAGATACATCAAAAAAAGAAGACTACAGGCTAATATCTCTGATGAATATTAAAGTACAAATCCTCAACAAAATGCTAGCAAACTGAATTCAGCAATATATTAAAAAGACCACCCATTATGACCAAGTGGAATTTATCCTAGGGATGCAAGGATGATTCAACACATGCAAATCAATCAGTGTGATGCATCATACCAAAAGAATGAAGGACAAAAGCGTATAATCATTTCAATTGATGTTCAAAAAGCACTTGATAAAATTCAACATACCTTCCTGATAAATACCTCTAAAAAAACTGGGTGTAGAAGAAACATACCTCACTATAATAGCCATGTGTGATGGATCCATAGCTAGTATCATACTGAATGGGGAAAACTGAAAGCCTCTTCTCTAAGATCTGGAATACAAGAAAGACATTCACTTTCACCATGTTATTCAACATAGCACTGGAAGTCCTCACCAGAGCAATCAGACCAGAGAAAGACATAAAGGACATCCAAATTGAAAGGAAGAAGTTAAATTATCCTTGTTGGCAGATAATATAATGTTATAATTAGAAAAACCTAATGACCCCACAAAGAAACTATTAGAACTGATAAACAAATTCAGTAAAGTTGCAGGATACAAAATCAACATACAAAAATCCATAGCATTTGTATATTCTAACAGTGAACAATCAGAAAAAGAAATAAAAAATCCAATTTATAATAGCCACAGATAAAATTAAATACCTAGGAAATAGTTTAACCAAAGTGAGAGATCTCTACAATAGCAGTTATAAAACACTGATGAAAGAAATTGAAGAAGAAACACAAAAAATGAAAAGATAGTCCATGTTCATGGATTGAAAGAATTAATATTGTTAAAATGTCCATACTACCCAAAGCAATCTGTAGATTCAATGCAATCCCTACCAAAATACCAATTACATTCTTCAGAGAAATAGAAAAAACAATTCTAAAATTGATGTGGAACCACAAAAGACCAAGAAAAGCCAAAGCTATCCTAAGCAAAAGAACAAAACTGAGGAATCCCATTACTTGACTTCAGATTATACTAAAGAGCCATTAGTAACAAAAAAAGCATGGTACTGGCATAAAAATAGACACATAGACCTATGGAACAGATTCTAGAACACAGAAACAAATCCATACACTTACAGTGAACTCATTTTCGACAAAAGTGCCAAGAAGATACACTGGGGAAAAGATGGTCTCTTCAAGAAATAGTGCTGGGCAAACTGGATATCCATACACAGAAGAATGAAACTAGACCCCTATTTCTCAACATATACAAAAATCAAACCAAAATGGATTAAAGGCTTAAATCTAAGCCATCAAACTATGAAACTACTGGAAGAAAACACTGGGGAAAATCTCCAGGACATTGGTCTGAGCAAAAATTTCTTGAGTAATACCCCACAAAAACAGGCAACCAAAGCAACAATTGACAAATGGGATCACATCAAGTTTAAAAGCTTCTGTACAGCAAAGGAAACAATCAACAAAGTGAAGAGACAACCCACAGAATGGGAGATGTTTTCAGACTACCCATCTGAGAAGAGATTAATAACCAGAATCTATAAGGAGTTCAAATAACTCTAGAGGAAAAAAATCTAATAATCAGATCAGAAAATAGACAAAAGATTCAAAAATACATTTCTTAAAAGAAGACATACATACAAAATGGCAAACAAGCATATAAAATTGTGCTCAACATCATTGATCATCAAAGAAATGCAAATTGAAACTACAATGAGAAAATATCTCGCTTTAGTTAAAATGGCTTATATCCAAAAGACAGGCAATAATAAATGCTGGCAAGCTTGTGGAGAAAAGGGAACCCTTGTACACTGTTGGTGGAAATGTAAATTAGTACCACCACTATGGAGAACAGTTTGGAGGTTCCTCAATAAACTAAAAATAGAGCTACCATATGAGCCAGCAATCCCACTGATGGGCATATACCCAAAAGATAGGAAATCTGTATATCAAAGAGATATCTGCACTCCCACATTTGTTGCAGCAATGTTCACAACAGCCAAGATTTTGAAACAACCTAAGTGTCCGTCAACACGTTAATGGATAAAGGAAATGTGAGAGCCCGGTGGCTCTCACCTGTAATCCCATCACTTTGGAAGGCCAAGGTGGGTGGATCATTTGAGGTCAGCAGCTCGAGACTAGCTTGGCCAACATGTCAAAACCCCAACTCTACTAAAAATCCAAAAATTAGCCAAGCGTGGTGCTGTGTGCCTGTAGTCCAGCTACCGAGGAGGATGTGGCAGGAGAATCACTTGAATCCCTGAGGCAGAGGTTGCAGTGAGCCGAGATCGTGCCACTGCGCTCTAGCCTGAGCAACAGAGTGAGACTCTATCTCAAAAAAAAAAAAAAAAAAAAAAAAAAAAAGATGTGGTACATATACACACTGGAGTCTACTCAGCCACTCAGCCATAAAAAGAATGAGATCCAGTCATTTGCAGCAACATGGATGGAACTGGAGATTATTATGTAAGCAAAATAAGCCAGACACAGAAAGACAAATGTTGCATATTCTCACTTATTTGTGGGATCTAAAAATGAGAACAACTGAACACATGGTGATAGAGAGTAAGAGGATGATTACCAGAGGCTGGAAAGGATAGCGGAGGGTGGAAGGGTACAAAAAAAATAGTTTTAAAATGAATAAAACCTAGTATTTGATAGCATAACAGGGTGACTAAAGTCAATAATAATTTAATTATACATTTTAAAATAATCAATAGAGTATAATTGGATTGTTTGTAACACAAAGAATAAATGCTTGTGGGGAGGATAGCCCATTCTTCATGATGTGATTATTACATATTACATGTCTGTGTTAAAACATCTCAGGTACTCCATAAATATATACACCTACTATGTACCCATGAAAATTAAAAATTGAAACAAATATGGTTGTGAGTGAGATCACATTGGGTAGTAGTTTCAGGATTTCTTCTTCAAATCATACCCAATTAGGATTTTTAAATTGAGCTTTAATTGTAAAAAAGAATTATTTGGCACTAGTTATATCCTAATTGAGTAAAATTAAACAAGGCAACTAATTACAGATATCTTCTATAGACATGAGTTTGGCTTTGATTCCCTATCATTTTCATTTTGTTTCAAATTTTATAATTTGAAAAGTTTCAAACATATGACAAGAAAAGAATAAAATAGTCTCCCATGTACAAATGCATTATTTAATTTATATCTGTCTCATACAAAAAAATGTAAATATTGCAGACATAGCTAAAGTCTTATTTTCTCCTGTCTTGCAAAACCTCTTTCCTCCTTATCTCCCCAGAAGTAATCATGACTCAGAGGTTAATGTTTACAATTCTCATGTATGATTTTGTGCTTTAAATATATGTATACATAACCATGCAATTTGCATTTTAGAAATTTAGATGAATGATAACAACCTGCTCACATTCTTTTTCAAAAAAACTCAGCATCGTAATTTTAGATTTATTCAAGGGGAGCTAATTCTTCCTACTGTAAGAAATTGCCTTCAATGACCATAGTTTATTCACCTACTGAGAGACAGCTTATTTACTTCAACTTTTGAATAACTAACAGGCTGTACTCTACATCATGTATACGTTTATATCTCTATGTACACATATACAAAAGTTTCTCTAGGGAATACATCTAGTAATGGAAATGCTGGGCCACTTGAGAATGTATTGCCAAACTGAAAAATTGCTTTCAAAAATAATTTGTTAATTGTCACACCAGTCAATTGTCACTCGATCAATTGTCAATATTGATGCTGTGTTTTGACTGCTAGATGATTATTTTCCTTACGGTTTTATTTTATTTGAGCTCTTTGAAGCTTGAAATGTAGTTGAGGTTCTCCAAGATAATTTGTGTTTACTTCTGTTTATTTTATCAAGATACCAACAACCTGTGACCACTTTAAATAAAATCCTCTGTTTGAGGTTTTTTTAGACCATACAGGTAGCGCTAATTCAGCTCATAAACTACTGTGAGTGATGACTTGTGGTTACAAATCCTCAGGGTAGATTTTTGCTTTTTTACTTTCGCTCAATGGAAAGTTTCACATAGGACTAAACATACTGAATAGCCAGTTTATTTCTTCTTCCTGTTGACACGGAAGGTAGAGCCCTTTGGTAAACCAGCTTTATGTGGAAGTTTTATGTTAGAATCCCCACTTTGGCTAGACCCAAGTGCTGTCCTCTGTCCTTGACCCATGCAGTCATCAAATTGGAAGCTCAAGGTGTCCAGGATTTAGCCAAACTCCCTAGGATGAGAGCTTGCTTTAGTGCACATGTATCACATGATCCTACTATTCCATCAGTTTTGGCTTCTACACATTCCGTTTATT
The DNA here is from genome assembly GCF_000001405.40 of Homo sapiens. Classification (NCBI taxonomy): domain Eukaryota; kingdom Metazoa; phylum Chordata; class Mammalia; order Primates; family Hominidae; genus Homo; species Homo sapiens. Next base: position 71,084,738 of record NC_000012.12, on the reverse strand, counting down.
TCTTTTTTTTTTTTTGCCAGTTTAGCAAAGTATTTTAAAAGACTTTTAACATTTATATACATTCTCAGAAATTTAACTCAAAGTATCTAGCCTGTACTTTTCCCAAACCAGAAATCACACTTAGGTCTCTAATTCATGTGCAATTTTTTTTGTATATTAGGTAGATATATGACACTTTCCCCTCCCAAATGAATAATAGTGGGACCATTTATGAATTAATCCATCTTTTCCCACCAATTTGTAATGGTACCTCTGTCACATACCAAACTCTTAGAGATAGAGAGATAGACATAAAAATAGATAAGTTCTAAATTTTATTTTCCATACATTTGATTTTTGTACTTACCCTATTATGGTACCATACTGATTTAATTTCTGTATATTTGTAATTGTAAGAATAACAATCCAAATCCTCCCTTTTTATATTCATTCATCAGAGTTGTTTCATCTATTTTCGACTTTTAATTCTTCTATATGAATTATGGAATGAGCATGACAATTTCAAGAAAAGAACGTTGTTGGTATTTTGATTGGTCTTCATTTAGCTTACTGTTTAATTTGGAAAGCTTATCATATTTATTTTAAACTGTTTTATCTCTCTCTATTTGTTCTATGTCTTTTAATAAATTCATCAACAAGACATAATCATTCAAAATGTATTTGCACCTAATAACATAGTAAAAAATGGCAGAATATAAAAGAAATACAGACAAACCCATAATCAGATCTTTCAGTAATTAACAGAAGTTGAATATTTTTTCAGTAATTAACAGAAGACGCAACAAAAATAAGTCTATAGAAAACTTGAATGACATTATTACTCCACTTGCTTTAATTGACACTTATAGAACATCATACCAGACAACTGAAGAATACTCAGCATTTGGCAAAAGAGACCATATGTTTGGATACATAGTAAACACTAATAAATGTAAAAAGATTAAAATTATACTGGTTAGGTTTTCTGAGCAACACAAAATTCAACTGGAAATCAATACCAATAACAAAAGTTCTAGAAAATTCTTAAATTGAGGCAGGATAGGTAGTCAAGGAAGTAACCATGTCCTCAGGACACTGCAAATGTGCAACCCTTCAGTCAACACAGTAAGCCCCAGCATTTGCATTGTAGTTAAACTCATTGACGCAAAGCTGTCTTCAGTTGGGAATTTCCCGTGTAGAGACCACGTAGAGACCAGTTCTCAAACTGACCCTTTACTCATTATAATAATAAAAATCACAGTCCTGGGTGGAGATTTAAGATGCTGATGAGAAGTGCAATCTATGAACAAGCATGTACAGCTACTACATATGTGCATCCAGAAGACCACCTAGAACATGCTTACTAGTAACACCTCTTCCCACCTCCTTATGAATAATCATGCAAAACTCTCATAGGAGGCATTTCTCCAGCAATAATCAATGCTATCTCATTCTTATGAGCAGCCCACCCTGAATTCTGTCTCTTTCTCTCAGGGTGTACTGTCTATTCTACACTTAACTTTGAAAATATTCATTTTCTTTTGCAATAAATTACTCTATTCTCCATCTCCTTTGCTGTGTATCTTTTGTTTAAATTCTTTTGAACTAAGAAGACAAGAACCAAGGTCTCACAACAGCTGCCAACAAAATGTTTGGAAATTAAGCAACATATGATTTTTAAAAATTAGAAAATATTGTGAACTAAATGAAAATAAAAATGCAACATCAAAGTTGGTGAGATGCAGCCAAATCGATGCTTTGAAGTCATATTTAATCTTCAACAAGTTATAAAAAGAGAGCAAATTAAATACTAGAAGAAGAGAAGAGGAAAAATTAAAGGTGAAAACATCAACAAAATAAAAAGACAGATACTTAATAGAGAAAAACAAAAGTCAGAAGTTGATTCTTTGAAAAGACTAATAAAATTAATAAACATCCAACATGATCATGATAAAATAGAGGAAAAAGCATTCCCATATAAAGAGTAAAACAAAGATGCCATTACTGAACCTTTGACTATTAAAAAAATAAGAGGATATTATGGACAACTTTGGACAATTTTATGCTTATAAATTTGACAACTTTGTTTAAAAGGACACATTTCTTGAGAATCACATCTTATCAAAACTATAAAAGAATAAATGAAACCTATAAACTATTAGAAGTAATAAATTTAACAAAGTTGGTGAATACAATACCAATAAGAAATAGTTTTTAATATATTGACAAAAAACAAGTAGAAAATGAAATAGGAAACTATACCTTTTATAGCAGCATCAAAAACACCAAGTACCTAAGATTAAATCCAATGAAATATGTGAAAACCACTATGATGAAAGCTAAAAAACATTTTTGAGATAAATTATGGAAGTCCTAAATAAATAGATATATTCATGAATATATCTTTGTTATGAAAAAATCCACATTGTAAAACTTCAGTTATTTTACAAATTGATTTGAAGATTCACAACAATCCCACTCAAAATGTCAGTGTATTTTAAAAATGAAAATGGATAAGCTGATTCTAAAATTTTGGTGGAAATTCAGTATCTAGAAGGGCCAAGACAATGCTTAAAGAAAAACAAAGCTGTATAACTGATACTACTGGATATTAAAACTTAGCGTAATAATACAGTAATTAATACAATGTGCTACTGGCACAAGAATAGTCAAATAGACTTAAAACATAGAGTAGATGCCAGAAACATATCCATTTATATGAAGTCACCTGACTTACAGTAACATTCCACTGCAACTCAGGGGGTGAACAGATGGTGTATCAGTAAAAGTTCAGTCAGGAGATAGAAAATTGAACAAAGAGAATTTAATATAAAGCATTGTTCACAGAGTAAAATGTTATTAACTACTAAAAAGTAAATTGAGAACTGTAGGGTATCACAATTTCAGAAAGCTACCACACGTCTGGCTGAAGGATCAAAGGGAAAAGCTTTGAAAACTAAAGAAGGGCTTGCAGGCTGATGCCCAGCTGGTGCTTGTGCTTATGATCTTGGAGGGAGGAGGCCTGTGAGACTGGGACCCCGGCCTCACAGGAATGGGGTGACACTCACAGAAACCATCAGCCAGAGAAGTCCTCAAAACAAACAAGAAGAAACAAGTCTTCTCCTTCTCCAGCTTTGAAGCCTCCTTCAATCCCTATTGGTAGAGCCTAACTGGAAGCCAACTGGTAAAGCAGAAGTGTAGTTTGCAAAGTCCCAGACCCACCATCCCAAAGCAGCATATAGATGGGAAGGTTTGGGGCTGAAAGACACCCTAATAACTGGCACATGTAGTCTTTGCAATAAATGCTGTCAAAGCAACTATATTTCCATGTTGTAAAAAATGAACTTTAACCACTATTTCAAACCGCATGTACAAATTAATTCAAGATGGACCATAGACCTAAATGTGAAATAAATTATACTTCTATGAGACAACAGGATATCTTTATAACCTTGAGATAGGCAAATATTTTTTACATAGTCACAAAGGCCATTAACCTTAAAAGAAGTGATTGATAAAATATACTTCTATAAAATCACCAACTTTGTTTATAAAAAAGCCATCATTGAAAGGGTAAAGAGGTAAGCTACAGATTGGAAAAAGTATTTGAAATACGTGAAGTGATGGGACAAAAGCCATCTAATTACAAACAGGACAGAATGAAAGATACAAAGCAGTCACTGGTCTATAGAAATTTCACCAGACAGATACTGTCAGAGTCTCCAGCCATAGGAGTGCAAACAGTCTTTCATTGACCCCAATTGAAAGGATTTATATCTGATATGTATAAAGAAGACCCTTAAACCATTAATAAAAGTAGAGATAATCTCGTTTTAAAATAGGCAAAGACTTGAAGAACCAATCTACAAGAAAGACTATCAAAAAGGTCTATAAACATATGCAACATTAATTATCAAATAAATTCACATTAAAATTACAATAAAATAACACTACCTACTAGAACAGCTGAAAAGACTGACAATAAGCATTAGCAAGGATATGGAACAACTGAAACTGTTACATTGATGAGGAATGTAAGTTAGAAGAATCATTTTGGAAGACAGTCTTTAAAAAAACAAAACATAAGGTACTCAAGTTGGGCATGGTGGCATGTGCCTGTAGTTTTAGCTGTTTGGCAGCCTGAGGCAGGAGGATCCCTTTAGTCCAAGAGAGTTCAAGTCCAGCCTGGAAAATATGGCAATACTCCATCTGTAAGAAAACTAAAAGGAACACTCTATGACAGAGAAATTCCACTCCTGAATCCATTTCTATGTGCACCAAATGACATAAGCAAAAATGTTTATAACAACTTTATTTGTAGTAGCAAAAAACTGGAACTAGCACAAATGTTCATCAAAAATAGAATGGGTAAATAAATTGTATTACATTCATAAAATGAAATACTACACATGAATGAAATTACAAATTATTGATACACGAAACAAAGGGATTAATCTTACAGATATATTATTGAATAAAAGAAGTCAAATATAAAGAAAAGATGTCATATTATCCTCTCTATACATAATTAAATAACAGTCAAATTTAATCAATGATAATAGAGGTCAGAGTATGCTTACCCTTGGGAAAGAGGTAAGAACTGGGAAGCAACCTTCTAGGGTGCTGGAAATGTTCTGAATCTTTTTTTTTTTCTGCCTTTTAATACAAGTCATGCTTTAATAAACTATATTTGATTTATGTTTACACATCTATTTAACAATGAATTAATGATTAACAGCTATTTGGGGGCCAACTGTTTCCAAGTATTCTTCTATTTGCTTTATATATATTTATTTAACCCTTACAATAACCATCTCTATTTTACAAATGAAGAATCTGAGACCTTAAAAGAAAGATATTTTCCCAGCTACTAAAAGATGAAGACACAAGGAAATCAGGAAGTATTAGGACAGAACCTAAGTATTTAACCAGTGTTTTCACCTCTTTCATAGATGATTATAGAAACACATTCTATATTTGTTCCATTATGAAATTATCTCCAGAGCAAATATGAATGATGTGTTTTAAAATGATATTTATCCTAAATCCTACATTCAGTCATTTATTCATTCTCTCCATAAATAAATCAATTTTTTTATTTACTAGATGTTAAAATAAGCATTTGGGATAGAAAAATAAATAAAACACAATCCATGTGTTTCATTCTAGTGGAGAAAAGAAAATCATATAGCCATTTGCTATAAAACAATGATATGTTTTAGCGAAATACTGAATATATTCATAGAGTGCTTGGAAGCACAATTTGTGTGTACCTATTCCATTCTGAGAAGGATTGGGAGAGCAGATGTTAGGAAAATAATTCTTAGAATAGGTGATACCTCAACTGAACTTCAAAAGGTGAAATGTTGAGGGATGTGGGTGAGTAGGAGAATTGATTGTAGTTAGATGTGAGCAAATGGTGTTGGCAATTCTATTACATAAAATTTCATAATGAACAGAATCCCATCTTGTGTCCACAGAATATTGCAGAAAGAGGCTATACAGTCTACCAGTATTCAGCTGAATTAGTAACTACTACATTTCTTCAATAAAATAAATTACAAAAATAAAAATGTATACAATGGGTTATGATTGTATTTTTATTTAAGATGTTTTAAACATGATTTCTTCACATTCTTCCATTCCTTTTTCTCTCTTTTCTCTCTTTCTTGGACACCCATTATGTATATATTGTTATGCCAAATGTTGTCCCGTAGGTGTCTTTAACTGTTCAGTTTTTTTCAATCTTTTTTCTCTCTGTTCTTCAGGTTGAACAATTTCTATTATTCTGTCTTCAAATCATTGATCATTTCTTCTGCTGTATCAAATTTGTTGAGGCCCTCTAGTAATTTTAAAAGATTTTAATCATTATGCTCTTTAATTATAAAATTTTATTTTATTTTTAAAAATAATGTAATGTCTTTAATTAGAATCCCTATTTTTAAAACTCATTGCTGTCATGATTTTCCTTAATTCTTTAAGCATTGTTTCCTTTAGTTCTTTGAACATATATTTAAATAGCTGCTTTGAAGTCTTTGTCTGCAAAATCCAATATCTGGGAACACTCAAAAACAGATTGTATTGGCTACTTGTTTTCCTGAATGTAGGTTAAACTCTGTCTCATAAATTTCTGTTGAAAAGCTGACATTTTAGATTAGTAAATTGTATCAATGCTAGATTCTGACATTTTTTTCCTGAAGAAACTTGCTGAGGTGGTCAGTGAAAACTTTCTCTCTTGTATTGTGTGGCCACTGATGTCTCTGCCTCCTTTTCTTTTCTCATATGATCTGTTTTTATTTTTAAGTTTGGTCTTCTAGAGTTTGCCTTTGTGTCTGCATATCTTAGTCATCATCCAGTGATTGGACAAAGGTTGTCCTCAAACACCTTGAGAAATAAGGCTTCCATTCTCTGCTGATGAATCCATGCATCAATGTTCTGCATCTTGATGTGCAAAATGGTTGCCCATGTTCATGCATGTGTAAAATATATTCAGTTCTGTTCTTAAGATTTGTGCAACTTTTCCCCATTCAGTATTATGTTGGCTGTGGGTTTGTCATAGATGGCTCTTATTGTGTTGAGGTGTGTCCCTTGTATGCCAATTTTGCTGATGGTTTTAATCATAAAGGATGCTGGATTTTGTCAAACGCTTTTTCTGCAACTGTTGAGATAACCATGTGATTTTTGTTTTTATTTCTCTTTATATGATGTATCACATTTATTGACTTGCGTATGTTAAACCATCCCTGCATCCCTGGTATGAAACCCACTTGATTATGATGGATTCTTTTTGTTATGTAGTCAAATTCGGTTCACTAGTATTTTGTTAAGGTCTTCCTGTTGGGATTGCTGCCAGACCACCCATCCAGAATATCAGGCTAGACTAAATAGTTAAGCTTTACTACAAAAGAACACCTGCAAAGGCCAGAAGAGGTGGCCATCTCCTCAAATGACCTAAGGACACAAGAGTTATGGAAAACCATGGAAATATAATGCCACCAAAAAAACTAATAAAGCTCCAGTAATGGAGCCAAAAGAAATAGAGATTTATGAAATAATTGACAAAGAATTCAGAATAAACTTCCTAAAGTTTTCAAAAAATTACAAGAAAATACAGATAGGAAATTAAATAAAATTTAAAAAACAATTCATGAACAAATTCTGTTTGTTTCTTCATTCAATTTGTTTTTTTATAATAGTTTTATTTAGAATTGCAGTTCCTTTTCTTATGTTTTTATATTAATTATCTAGACATTAAAACAACAAAGACAAGAGTCATTTTGTACATATTCACCTATGCAGAAACCTGCTTCCTAGCGATGTCTCTCTTTAATGCCATGTCACTGGTATTTTTTTCTAGAAATTTATTTTTTAATGTTGTATGTCTTTGGCCTTTTTCCATTTTACATGTGTTAATTTTTTATTCTCTTTCATATTGTTTTTCTATCAATTTCTTGGGCTTCTATTTCTCTATTGGTTCTTGCTCAACTCTTTATTGTTTTATACTTTTTTCAAAACTATGAGCTAATTTTAGAGGGTTTTAGTATTTTTTCTTGCATTTCTGTGTTTGGGATTCCTAGGGACAGATTGTTATATTAATTTTTGGGCTTGGGTGTTCTCAAATGATTTTTGTAGTATAAATTTCAAATTTTAACATTGTGTGTGTTTATGAATGCAGTCACAAAATCTCCAAGGAGATTTTGCCTCTCGGATCCCAAATGGAAACACCAAGTTCCCAATCTTATCTCTATATCAGAATAAGAATTGTGACTAGCCCATCGTTCTAACCTACCTTTCTACTGAGAATGCAATACATTGAAGATTATGGTTGATGTGGGAGTTTTAGTTCCAATCTCGCACTCAATAGGTCCATGGTCTCATCTTCTATCTTATGCCCCAAGTGTTTAAGACAAGTAACACTTTCAAAGCATTATTAGAATCAGCTCAAACACTTACCCTCTGGTTTTCTAAATAAAATTCAACACCCAAGGAGCCTCCATTATGTTATCATTCACAGGCTCTTATCTCTTGATCATTTTTGTAGATATTACCCAAAGTGCACTATATAGACATATATTTGATTTACCTCATTCTGATTTGTAATGTAAAAAATAACTTGTTTACATGTCCATGTCTTTCACTAATGAGATTTCCAGGTCCGTGGAGTCAGGGATTGTATATTATTTATCCTAGTATTTAAAACATCTAGTATAATATGTAACAAATTATCGTTCAGTAAAGTTAATAAATATTTTGGAATGCACGAATGAAAGATAGACACCAGGAAGACTATTCCACTAGGAAAAAAGAAAAATAAAACCCTCTGTTGTTATAGTGTATTGTGTCTTTCATTCCCTCTCTTTGCTCCCACACATCAAAGCATTATTCTTTGGGATGGCAGCACTTGTGTCTTTCTCACTTATAGTTTGTTTTCCCGATTTCGGTTGATCGTGTCATCCCAAACTCTGCCTCCTCCCTTTGCCCTCTCTCTGTGTCCCTTCACAAAAAAATAAAATTTAAAAATCCTGGAATACTAAACTATTTTCTCTTCTTTCTTTAAAGAATGTATAACATATATTTTGTAAAATGTAAAGTTATACAATTATCCTGGTATATAAAAATCCTATACAAATTATACATTCAAATGACAGTTAGAAACTATAATTTTAAAGTAAATTCTTTTGTGGATATTATATTCTTGCTGAATTGTATAAACAGAGTTTATTTGCTACCTCAATGAGCAATTATCTTTCAAGCATAGTCATTTCATGACTGTCTAGAATTATTTACAAAGCTAAGTTACAGGTCAAGTAAAACTTTCCCCAGATTGCTCTATCACGGTTCATTTATTACCATTGTTTGGGAACTTGACTCTTTGAAAGGGGATAAAAGACTCAGGAAATAAGAATAATTTTATTTATTCCCTTAGCAATCTTATCAATAGGTAGTGTCACATAAAAAAGAAGACTAATATTTTAAACAATTGAAACATTATGCCATGACTCGCACAGGAAATCCAGGACTGTGAGGATTATTTTAGGCATAAGCACGAAATCAGAAATAGCTTTCTTCTCTGTGTTCTACCTTCTCTTTCAAGACTCTTTTCCTAATGCCCTCCTTTCCATTGTTTCTCTCCTCTTTCTTCCTACCCTGTAGCCACAGGATTGGAGCCTATATATAGTGTTTCAGTCCTATGTGTATTTTTTGCTTTCAATTGACTGCTATTCTTTATCTTTTAAGGTGTTAGAAAATAAAACTGAGAGCCCTACACAAAGGAATGAATACTTGATCAGTTGAGATTCAAATAAACGAACGTCTAGTATTTCTGGCACCATGCTAGGGCAAAGGGAAGTATCTGGGGGCAGGAGGATTTTCCCACATCGCTTAAATCTCACGTTGGGTTCCTAACTACTTATTCAGAAGTTAAATTGCAAGTTGATGATTAATAAACATAATAAATAAATATAAGTACTCACTGGTCTGCCAGGTATAATTAGTCTGTATGAACATCTTGCTTATCTTTTTAAATTATAATTAGGATAAATTAGAATCAAGATAGGCTGGAGTCTTGCTTTTTATGATCACAACAAGAAGTGTTTTTATTATTCATTTATTTTAAAATAAAGTTTAAAGTACTTTAAAGGATAAAATGGAGAAAATATTGAACTGAATTTTCAAAGATGGAAAGATGATGGTATTGTGATAGCATTTAATGAACATATAATCTGAACAAAATTCAACAAAAAGAAAAAGATGTTAAACTATGAGAACATAGCAGGCACACAACATGCTAGTTGATATTGATGTGAACAAAATCAGTTACTCCAGATTTAGTAGAGCAGAAGTAGGCAAACTACAGCCTGGGGGTCAAATCCTGCCTGCTGCCACCTCATTTTGATATGGCCTGTGAACTAAAAATGGTTCTTATATTTTAAATGGCTGGTAAAAGAACAAAGCATAACAATATTTTGTGACATAAAATTTCATGAAATTCAAATTTCAGTATTCATAAACAAAGTTTTATTGGACCACAACCACACAAATCTGTTTATGAATTGTGTATTGCTGTTTTTATGCTACAATGGCAGATTTGAATAGCTGCAACAGAGACCATTTGGCCTACAAAGACTGAAATAATTACTCCTTGAATTTTTACTGAAAAAGTTTGCCAACTCCTGTTGTAGGGCATGAATTGAAAAAAATAAAATGGCGCATGAGCTACCACATTTGCAACAGTCTTTCTAAAGCAAAACAAACTCTCCAATCCAGAGAAAAAGTGTGTATGTAATTGTTCAGTACATTTTAATGTCTCAAACTAATCCTAGATTAATATTTTATGCCTTTTTTCATAGAATTTTTAAAACATAGAATTTGCAGTAATATCTTTTCCCTTCATTTCTGATTTATATAGAAAACTTCTGGTCATTTTACTGAAAAGTAATTTTATTTTATTGAGTTTTGTTTGGCATCTAAGTGACAGAATAGGACTATATAGATGAATTAAAAAAAAAATTCCTCTGCCCTTGAGGAGCAGGGGGTCAAGTGTGGAAAGCAGGCATATGAACAATTGTTACAATTTAATAGTATAACTGCTCTAATATAGATCCAAATTTTATGCAGTATAGACTTTCCTTTTTCCAATCCATCTTTCACTTGGCTTTAAGAATTATCTAACTAAAAAATAAAAAACAAACAAACAAAAAGAATTATCTAACTAATGATGCAAATATAACCATATTAGTCCCTAGCTTTAAATCCTTCAACTGCTGCCCTCCTAATTTCAGGATAATCACCAAACTCTTAAGCACGACATTCCTGGTCTTTCATCATCCAGTCGCAGGCTAACTCTGCTGCCTCATCTCTGCATTTCCCCCCTTTCTAAATGTTTTTCCTTAACAATATACTTTGTAATTCCCCAGACACTCCATGCTCTTTTGATTCTAAGCCTTTGACCTTTCCTCCTGTTATTTTCTCTGTCCAGAACTGATTTCCCACTTGACTGCTGAGACAGTATCCCTTCAGACCAATTAGAGCATTACATGCCCCAACCGCAGTGATGAGCCCAGAGATAGGCATAATACTCAACCTAGTCCTGTGAAAGGTAAATCTAGGATTCTTGGTGGAATTGTGATGAAAAAGTTGCACTCTTTCTGCTGTGGTTGCTAAGCTTGGAGGATATAAGTCAAAACTTCAATTTAATTTATATGAGCCTTTTTTTTTTCCTTAAGCTAGTTCGAGTTTGGTTTCTTTCCCTTGAAATAAAAAAGATTCAAATATAGTAGACCTCACCAAAAAATTGACATTTAAGGTAAATAGGGAAGAACAAGTATGAGTTTTCATGGTAGAAATGGTGGACACATGATTTTTACATACATTGGTGCACATATTAAGTATTTCCTTTTCAGAGTTAAAAAACGTAGAAAATTTCATGAGGCTTTTGAATCCCTGCTTAGAAAAGGGTTCTATTATATGCTTAACTTTTAAAAATTTCTACAGATGTCTATCTCTGCAGAAAATAAAAGATAAATGTTTGACCAATCACTCTACTAATCTCGTAAGTATGTATATTAATGGGAACATGTCTATTCCTTTTGTCCCCTTTGATTCCCTTGGCTGACTGGCTTCCAGATGTAGTGCTAGAAAAATTTTATTTCATACCAAAGGGAAAAAGAAAGTAAAATGGAAAATACCTGGCATGAAAACCTCACAAAACAGAATTTTTACAAAAGAAATTCAAATGAATAATAAAGATACTCTTACATTATATGCCAATCCTCTATCATGAATTTCATATTAGAAGAAACAAATAGAAATACTAGAAACAGAAAACTAATGCCTAGTTGAACTCTACATTTTGAGAAAAGGTTTTTCATTTGTTATATTTTTAAGGTCAGACTCTTTTGATAGGTGTTTCAGAGGGGACACTGACATATTTGCAGTGGCAAAAAATTTCGAGCAAAACACAGCTTTTGGCAAGTAAATCTATGCTTGTGTGGATCTATGACATCTGGATATGGAATGTTAAATCCGAAGACCTATCAATGAGGAGGAATCATTAGCATGGTGGTTGATTAGTGTTCTTGTTTTGCCACTTTTCTCACAATTACTTAGGCTTTGAGCATTTGACAACATTTCCCCATCATCTCAACCACCCTCAATGGCTCCCTATTACTTTGAGATGAATTCTGAACTCAGTCAGCATGAGAGATTTTCTATAATTTAGCTTCAAAAGTACATCTGGAGAGTGTCTACCTCCCACAGTGCCTTAGGGCTAGCTGAATTAATTTTCTGAAAATCGTTTCCTCTGTTTCTTTGATACTGAAAGTCTTGCCTAGTGAGGTTTTTTTTCCTCTTCTATTCCACTAAAAATTACACTTAGGTATTAAATTTTTTTATAGTTATATAAGTAGTTACATGTTTTTAATAGAACATTTAGAAAATAGGAAAAGGTAAAAAGAAGAAGGCAAAAGTTATCACAATCCAATCATCCAGAGTTAATTATTTTAAACATTTTAATCATCTTCCTCTCAGCTTTGTTTTGGCATCTTCTTTCAGTAATGTTTCTCATGTTGTGTATGCAAGTTGGTATCCTACTTTTCTTCCTGCTCAAAATTATGTTATCAGCAATTTTTAGCATCATTAAAAGTAATTTGAAAACTTGATTCTACTGGTTGTACCATTCTATTGAATGGGCACCCATCCTATAGAACATATATGCTGTTTCTCATTTGAAGGTATCATAATTTAAGAAGCCATGAAGATTAGGGGAGTGTATAATGAAGAATGTGACCTCTGCTGTCAGAGAGATCTGGGCTTGGTTTGAGTTCTGTAACTTATAAGTCATATGATCTTGGGTTTATTCATTCACTGATTTATTCAGCAGATATTTAAGAAAAGCTAATTATGAGTCAGGCACTGACTGAGAGCTGATGGAAGAGCATTAAATAAGTTGATTCCTCTCCAAGGCTAACAGAGGAAAATAACAATAAATAAATGCACAAAATTGAGTAATGACAAATGCTATGAAACATAGTGAGGGGACAGAAAATGAGGCAGACACCCAGCCCAACAAGCTTTGGATAAACAGAAACACTATCTATCTTACTCATTGTACGTCCCAGTGCCTAGCACTGGCGCCCGGTGATTCTTTGTTGAATGACTGATTCATTTGTATTATCAAATGGGATTACTGTTTTAAATATAAGTAAATTACTAACCAAAGTCATTACTATCTGTCAGTAGATTGGAAATGTATGAATTTTCAAGAGTGAGTATGCTTAAATCGACGTTTGCAGCAGTTTGCCTAATCTCAAATAATTTTTTCACTTTCTTTTTATTCTGCTTTAAGATAAAATCGGTTGCTTCCTAAGAAAACGTGTACCCTCAAAAGTATCATTATAAAAACAACAATTTCAATGAGAGCGTTTATCAGCTATTGTGTTTCTGATTCAAAATGGTAAAATTACTTTTGTGCATGTATTTCAATATCATCTTATAAAAATTCTGTTTTACAATTCCTGGCTAAAATTAATAAATTGATTGATTAAAATGGAGAAAACCCAACCGAAATGCTGCACTACTTGGTTTCTGCCCATTTATGCAGGAACATCTTAGACTCTTTCATCGTTCTTGGCCTTGGTATCAGTATTAGTTTGCATCACATTTCAGAATAGTCTGAACTGAAGAAAAAAATTTGTGCAATGGTAAATAAAAGATGCTAACAGAGTGGGTTGTGTGTTGTTAGGATTTGCAGTTCCAGCTTTTTTCCTCCTCCCTAGTTGCTGCTACTGACTCTCAGTTGCGGTCTGGTTACAACACAACACATATTGAGTTATTTAGTTCATCAACCATTGGCTTATTTTATTTGTACTATGACTCACATATAAACCCACTGCAGGGAAAATGCTTGCTTTACAATTTATGATAAACACATAGGATCTTATTTTAGTTATCACCCAAATAGGATCTTAGTTAGAGACTATAGCTTTTTCCCTGGTTGTAGACATGAGCACCTGTTTGGCAGCCTATAGCAGAGTTAGCATTTCTACATGGTATATATGTGTCTCAGCTGGAAAGAGTCATTTCCTAGATTCTTTTTATCCTCCTATTACTAAGCAAATGCCTAGTGTGGGAAGCACTCCGCCATGCATCATCAAGCTGAGAAACATGTACTGAACTCTGAAAGTGAGTTCTCTCTAGTAGCAAAGGAAGTCATATGCAGTCTCCTTCAAACCATAGTTGGTCACTAAGTGGGTTGGTGAAAGAGTAATTCATCCAAATGCGGCCCAGAGGAATGATGACTTTGTAAAACAACATGCACATCACTTTGTTGGTCTAAGACAAAGGTAATCATAAAAGCAAGTTCCCAAAATCTTCTATTGTCTTGCTCCCCAAACTTGTGGTTTGTTCTGTCCTTGGACTTGATCTAAATCTCCAAGGAACAGCCAAAATGTTCTTTTTAAAATATAAATCAAATCATGTCATTCCTTTGCTAAACCCCCTTCCCCTTGATGGCTTTCCATTTCACTTAGAATAAAACCAGAAATTCTTCAATGTTTTGCATGACATGGCCCTTGTGGCCCATCCAATATCACCTGTGAACTTTAATAACTATTTTCCAGACACTCTGAATGTTTGTTCTGAATCCTTGGTACCTAGAAAAGGACTAGGACATAGTTGGTACGCAACATATATTTGTTGAATGATTGAATAAGTGAATGAATAGCTCATAGCAGTTGTTATCAAACCTGGCTGCACATTTAAATCATCTAGAGTGCTTTTAAAATAAAGACGTTTGAAACCCATTTTTTAGAGTTTCTGTTTTAATTTCTGCTATGTAGTGGAGCATTGGCATTTTAAAAAAGGTTCTCAGGTGATTCTAATGTGAAGACAGACTTGAGAAACATTGACCTGGAGGAAAAGACAATCATTCATAAACTGTTAAAATGGTTTGCTCAGATTATTGAGTGCTCACCATTGTTTGCTATCACTATTATATCATCCTATGCATTCTCAAAAAGTAAATCTTTCCCTATTTATTGTTACAAAATCCTGTTAGATTTCAAATTACTGGTAGACACTGGCTGTTATGAAACAATAAAGCCTGATTTAATTTTGTTCTCTCTGTTCTAGAATCGCTAAGTTAGGTTTCCGGAAATTTCTGACATGGAAAAGGAAGGAGCATTTGAATTTGTTTCATACACTACAGTTTTGCTGATTAAAAAATGTAAGTCTCTGCCAAAGATGTCATCATGTTGGCTATGACTATTGAAAACAAACCCCAGAATCCAGGCAGATCTGAAGTTCAAAGCTGATTTAGACTGGGAACACTTATTAAGGAAAGTGTCATTTGTGCTCAGAATAATGGCTTGCAATTCTTCCAGCATTATTTTTCACCTAATAGGATTCATCTTCTACAGAGAAAACTCCAAGAAGAAAATCTGGAAATTTTGGCCTGATATATACAGAGACCAGATGGTTAACAGGTACTGAGTTGATTTTTGTAGTGGGATACACTGAATGAAAAAGACAAGTCTCTTTAAGGCAACAATAAATTTCCCAAATGGGCCTGTGTGAAATGTTTAAAGGTTGAAGATAAAGGTTTGGGGTTACGTTGTCCTTAATATGAAAGGGGGATAAATGGAAACAGGTGGGCCGCTATTTTAGATGTGAGCAGAACTGTCTTCTGAATCTGTGAACATTATAAAAGAAACTGGATGGAATTTGGAAGCAATAAATTACCATAGAGTCTACATTGGAAGCACATACACGTGCTGATCTACTTACATGGATCCTTTTGAAGGTGAGGTGCTGAGGTCTCAATTAGGATCAACTCTCAAAAGATTATTTTAACTCTTTGAAGTGGAGAAACGATTTCTTTACTAGAAAAGAGGACATTAAAATAAAATGATTTTTTTTCAATGTATCCTTCTTACACTCACTTACTGGTTCACACATAATTACTGGTTCACACAATTACAGGTCCACAATTCATTAACCTCAACTCCAAAATCCAAGAAGTTCTTGAAAGTGACTTTTTAAAAATAATTTATTTGAGGGAAAAACTTGTCCTGAATTGATGGGGGTCAGTAATAACCTTTATTTATCCCACCGATTACAAATATCCATGTGTTTTACGGTAGTCATAATCATGTTTTATTGGGTGCTTCTGCAGACTTCGCTGGAGATACTATTTGGTACTCTTCATATGAGCCTTATTATCCCTCCCAAATCTGAAAACTTCAAATCCCAAAATACATGTAACTTAGATTAGGAATATGTCTACTCAAATTTGTTAATTTGCATAAATTAAAACACTCCTTTGGGTTGGCAGATTGGTGACATCACACCAAGCACTCTTAATTATATGATGCCAAGATGTGTTAGTAGCTGTGGCTGTTTCAGGGCAACACACCTCTGAAATAGAAGGGGGTATATAAAGACTTTTTCACATCTTAAGTAACTCTCAATTCACAGAGAAGGCAATATTTAGTAATATATGCTGAAGTTTCTTTTTAGCAGGCTGGTAAAGGTGGGGTTTAACATGAAGTTTGTGCCTTTGAAAGTTATTTTTCAAGCTAGGAGTGGTGATCCAGGTCTTTAGTTCCAATTTACTTGGGGGACTGAGTCAAGAGGATTGCTGGAGCCCAGAAGTTTGAATTCAGCCTGGGTGACAAAGCAATACTCCATCGCCCTCCCCACAACAACAACAAAAAAAAAAATTAAAAAAATAGTATTATTCTCTCAGCAGCCCTCAAGCCAAACCCTGAATGATGATTATTATGAGATTTATGTAAACATCACAGAGATAAAAACATTGGCCCTAGATGGTCAATTGAACTGAGTTTGAGCTGGGCTTGGGTAATTATTCTGGACTGATATGTAACAGATTTATTTGGACTAGATTTATAAGTTCCTTTCCTATGAATTGGTCAAAGTTGGAAAAAAATACTTTATTTCTTTTATTTTGCCTACTTGAAGTCAGGCAAATCTATATGCCTGAAAACAATTAATGAGGTTTATTTTCACCTTGATTCAGAGGCCTTAATGTAAAGAAAACATAAATTGCCATACACTGTAATGTCTGAGACAGGAATAAATGTAGTGCCATTTTTTATTATGGTTCATTGGTTGGTTGGATTACTGGTGGTTAGAGATTGAGCGGTGTGGATAATGGAACACAAAGAACCTAGGCAGGAAACTGCAATTTGCAATTAGAGAGATTACTGGGTCCAGAATCTCCTCAGGGTGTGTTCATAGTAAGGATGTTCACTATAAAGGCTGTACTTTTTTTCATGTGACATGCATTGAAATCTACAGCAACCTTACAGATAGCATGGATTTATTTCCCAATGCCCCAACTGTAATCATGCAAAGCATTAACTTGAGTTCTCTCTTCTTGGAAGACTATAGGTATCATAAAAAGCTTTTAAACTGGAAAGGCTTTGGGAGATTATCTACATATTTCTTTATTTTACAGGTGAGACAATCAAGAGTGTTTTCATTTTGTTAGCTGTGTATTGAGATAATGATATCCCGAGAAATGAAGTGAATTTACTTGTAACTCTGTATCCTTCCAGTCTACTTAAAGTCCACTATAGAAAGCTTTCAGTTTTCAGATATAATGGAGGAGGAAGGGTTTGTATTTAATTACATATTCTTATTATGTTAATTACATATTCTTATTATGGGAACCTTTCTTATAATCCCATAGCATGCCAGCTGCTAGAATACATTAACTTTCCAAAGTATGTAGTTTATAATTTCATCTCTTTAGAAGATGCAGAGGACCCTGTAGGACCACCTTCTGTATATTTTGCCAAGTCCTTTGATTTACATAATCTTGTTTAAGCTTCCCCAAATCTTTAGAAGTGGATGAGAAAATCATGGTTTTTTAAAATTATTTTTTTAATTTCCATTCTTTTAAGTGACAAATACTCAATTGCAATGAGCTGGGTAACAGAACATTCTAGTTTTAGATCAATTAGATGTTGACTCCTCTCAATTTTGTATTCATATAAAAATTCAGTAGGCCAATGACCCTCTTCTTAACTTGTTCCTGCCTTTGTTGAAGACAATGGTATTGGCAACAAGAAGCCAAAGGCCTGAGAATCATCTGAGTTTTCTCAATTTCAGTTTTATGTTAAAGTTGAATCTGTGTATTTTTTCCTACATATATTATTTTTATTTTTTATCCTGGTAGTTATTTTAATCCTATTTTGTATGTAATAAACTTTTTATATATAATATCATTCTAAAATTTTATAAAATTTATAGGTAAATACATATATATATATAAAATTTTGGAATTATTTTAGATTTACAGAAAGGTTTCAAGTAGCATAGAAAGTTCCTACACACCCTTCACCTGGCTTCCCCTAATGTTATTATCTTATATAACTATGACTCATTTATCAAAACTAAAAATCTAGCATTGATGCAAGGCTGTTAAGGAAACTATGGACCTTATTTGGATTTTGCCAGTTTTTCCACTAATGTCCTTTTTCTGTTCAGGATCCAACCCAGGAAATTGCATTGCATTTGGTACGCATGTCTTCTTAATTTCTTCTTATCTGTGACAGCTCCTCAGTCTTTCCTTGCTTTTCATGACCTTGATACTTTTGAAGAGTTTTCTGTAAAACACCCTCAATTTGAGTTGGTTTGATATGTTCTCATGATTGGACTACCGTAATGTATTTTGGGGAAGAAGACCACGGGAATGAAGTGCTCTTTTCATATCAGGGAATACAGGATAGCAGCATGGCTTATCACTGGTGATGTTAACTGGTGATTATCACTTTGTTAAATAGAGTTTTTCCTGATTTCTTATTTTTTTCCCCTTTCCATACTCTTAGGAAGCAAGTCACTAAGTTCAGCCCACATTCAAGGGGAGAGATATCAAATTCCTTCTCCTGGAGTACCAAAGAATTTGTGGACATGTGTTAAAATGATGAGTGTTTAGTATATATTTTGTGGGAGATGTATTGAGTCTATTCAAACATCATTTTTCCCCTAAAAGTTTTAGTCACTAATTTTAGCATTCATTCATGGATCTTGCCTGCAGCAATTATTACTGTGGCGTTCTTATGGTGATTTTCTATTTTCCTAATTCCTTCTACATTTATTATTTGGAATTCTTTAATAAAAAATATTTGTCCTCATTTATTTAATCAATGACTTCTATTAGTACAAACTTATAGATATTGTTCTATGCTTTGGCTTATTAGCCAGTTCTATCATTATTTACTGTGTTGCTCAAATTGTTACAGCTTAGGCCATTAGAAGTTATAAGAATACAATGTTTATATGTAAAGTTCTTTTTGTCCTTAGCATTACAGTTTCCTAACAATATTTTAGAGTTGAGCTTTTATCTTTGTTTCATGCTTCCTGGGTCCACCCACTGATTGTTAAGTGTATCTTCTTTTCTGGGAACTTTGTTCTAGATCTCCCTGACCTTAATGTGATTAATCACGGGATCCGTTTCTTGTGCTGATGTTCAGCTCTGACCCCATCCTCCTGTTTACCTCAAATCAAGAGACAACATCCCTGGTGTGACTGGGACAGAGAATCAAGCCTGTGGTTTTGCATTGCCACTGCTCCATTGTCTAGGGTTGAGGTTGTTTACAGAAGACAGGTTCCCAGATAATGGAAACCTAGCCTTACTGTCTTTATATTTTAAATACCTTTGATGGAAATAGTCCTAGAGATTTCATAGATTTCCCAAAGCATATTAAGCATGATAAATCTTTTTTGATGTCTCAAGGTAGCATCAGGAACATGTTCTTTGAAAGTCCATTTATAGGAGGCAATGACCTCTGACATTTTTGAGATGCATCGGGATATTTTCACCTGTAACCTGAACATCTCCTGGGTCCCACAGATCAGTAGATCTTAAATAAGGTCATCCTAAACATTTGTATCTAAGTCTGCTGAATCCGTAGCCCCACTTGTCAAGTGACAGAATCTCGGCTCTTTCCTTTCTGGGAGGATTGTCCTACACATCATTCATACCCCTTCCAGCTTCTATCATCCCTCAGCTGCAGCTCTTCCCACTGTCTATCATGTCTGTTGCCTACTATGGATATACTCATTGCCTGTGCTTCCTCCACAGTTCTGCTGATTTATTTTACCATCAAAATAATCAATATTTATTGAACACCTACTATTTGCCACACATTCTTCTATGGCCTTAGGCTGCAGCAGTAAACAAAACAGACAAAAGTTCCTGCTCTCCTGGAGCACTGGGGGGAAGCAGACAATAATATAACTGTCATAAGTAATAAGAAACATAATACATAATACATTGCCTATAGAAAGCATTATGTGCTATGAAAAACATTCAGAAGGGTAATAGGAATCAGGGATGTTGGGGAGGGAGGTTGCAATCTGAAACACAATGCTTATAGTAATACTCATTGACAAAGCGATACCTGAAATGAGACTTAGAGGAAATGAGCGAGTTATTCATGTGGATACCTGAGGCAGACGAACCGTACAGTGTAAAGACCCTACAGGGACAGGGCGTTGTTTAAGAATTGCAAGGAAGTTAGGTAGGCCAGACTAAGAGACACCAGTAGGAGATGAGATTAGGGAGGTAACGGAGCATCAGTTCCTCTGTGGTCTTGCATTTTCCTTAGCGACTTTGATGTGGTGAAGCTCATCCATCTGTGACTTCAAATCTCCTTGGGATGCTCTTTCCACTATTAACTGCTTTACGTTCCTTGCAGATACATGAGACTGGGTCTCAGGGTCTTAACTTTCTCTTTTTGGCTAGTATCCATCTCTTGTTTGGATTGAGTAGGTATTTCTACAGCAGAGTTGCTAGGGCTCCTGAATTTATAACATTTCAGGGATGGATGGGGGAATGTGAGTGCAGCCTTCATGTTCTACCCCAGAACAACTGCTTCTTATGAACAGAATGTTCTGTGTCTGAACCTCTTTCTAAAATCATGGCAATTTTTTATTCAAGAGCCCTATATAACTTGAAATCTGTGGCCACACCTCTCTGCTCTAACATGACTGCATATATCCTATCTCCAATTATGTACTGAGACCTCGTTCTCATGACATATTTTTAGACAATGAAAATCTTGGGATTCTGCTAAAAACCAGTGATAAGATCACTTACATTTATACAAGGTATATCCGAACCTCAGCTTTGCCCCACACATCAATAGAACCTCGACTTTGTCCCACACATCAATAAATGTCTTTTATAAGTTGTCTTTGTCTAGTGGGCCCTTTCTTTTTTTCTAACTTATTATGGGTTGGCAACAATATTATTAGTGTTGTTAAATTTCTATATAAGGAAAAGTAAACAGTCTTAGGGAAGGCTTCAGCGGTTCAAACTGGAAAAAGTGCATGAAATTTGAGTCCTTGTTTTAGATTGTTCAGAGGCTGTCTTTTGTTTTCCCTTTACCGTCCTTCCTTCTGAATCTGTTGCTAATAAGCAGGGTTTTTTGTAAGTGAAGTGTTATTGCGTAAGAATTTTATATGACACATTTCAGAATATTGACATGAGGAGTTGGGCGCGACCACAGGATTAGAACTCCAAAATTTTTGTGACTTTTGTCTAGATCTTCACAGTGACTATGATTCTGGGGCAAATCCTTGAGCCTCTCTGTTTTGTCATTTCTCTTTATACTTAGACTTGACGTGGCAGCCTTCTTCAGTACCGTCAGGTATAACTAGTCCTTTTTATTGTATTTTAAGGGCATTGATGGTTAATATTCTTCCAAATTTATTGACAAGAAAACTTTACTCATAAGAGATTAAGTGGCAAAACTGGAATCTCGAGGAGGCCTGTTGATTCTCAGTTTCCTGTCCTTTACATTACTCTTATCAGGGATGAAACTATGTATCCCTGTATACATTATTGAAGTATTGGAAAAACAAATAACTTGAAAAATTTGAAAGGAAGTTACCTCTATTTCCAAGATGGTGGCATTATATTTTTTTGTTATCCATAAAGTATTCTTTGAAGACAATTGGGATTTTTTGTCAGGTAAACACCTCATCCTGCACAGCACAAAGAGAAGCAGGTTTAATACAATTGAGTAGGAAAAAGTGGACTGAACAAAAACAGAATTCCATGTTAGTCTAACCAACAGAACCATATGTATAAATTTCACAATGCTTGTTTCTATATTTGTGTAGTTCTTAACTTTCACATTCCAGATTTTATGCAAAGAAGCAAAGAGGGGGAAAGGAAAAAGAAATAACAGAGGGGTAGAAAAAGAAAGAGAGACAGAGAGGGAATGCTGTGAGGAAAAATGCTCAAGAAAGTTTTTTTAGCTCAATTATGTAGACCCACGAGGTTTCTATCATTTCGACATGCTTTGAATAAGTATCTAAATTGAAACAGAGCTAGAAATCGTTTGATGTTCATCCATCACTAAATTTGACCTGTTTTTTTTGCATTATGCATGTTGCCGTGTTGCTTTACCAGTACTTTGCGTCCCTGGAGACAGGTTTTTATTTTTAGAATTTCTTCTCCTGTGGTTCAGAAAACAAATGTTGCTCTGCTGTATGAAGATTTCTGTGGAATTTAAGGCCCGTGAATGTGACAGACCAGGGTACGGGTGCCTTTGAGAGAACATCCTACTCTTCTCATCTCCACTACAAAAATAATTCATTTCATTCCTTGACCTCACATAAAACTATTTCAAAAATCATTTTCTCAAAAGATGACAAATCTGATTGCATCCAGTGTGGTGACAGATAGGGAATAAACATAGAAATGCACATTTATGGAAAAAATAGAATAATCATGAACTAGCATCCATTATTTTGGAAGATTACCAAGGAGTAAATCCTCTACACCACATCTTCAGTAGAGTCTCTATTGCTGTAGCATCTTCAAAATGAAAATGAGAAGTATTCAGGAGGCATTTAAACGTGGATTTGAAGACAGGGTTCAGTGCAATATGTTTCCTATAACTTCCCCAAATTTGACCTCAAGCAGAAGATGATCCATGCTCCCTCTGGAGTTCTTTGCTCTCCCTGGTTTGCCTGGACCATAACCCTCAGGCAGTGCTGCCAGATGGCCTCAATGTGACCTGTTCTCCCTGTACAGGTGTAATGACAGGGGAGGGGGAGAATTTTTTAAATGAATCAGTGGTGTTCTAGATGGTTAATTATTATTTCCCTGTTTTTTTAATGCATTTCATTAACATTTTATTGTAGCCTGAGGCTAAAGTCCAGGAGACACTTTATAAACCCACACCCCCTCTCTTCCAGCTTTCCATTTGTACTCACTAAGTAGTTCACTGTGGGATGTTTGCAAAACTGCAAATGAGAAAGATTGTACGGAGACCTGGGTTTAATTTTAGTGGAATAGGAGGTGAATTTTAATCAATGAAACACCCATGAAAGAAAAAAACAACACACATGAGGTTCTTTTATCAGCTTGTTCAGTGAGGAAATAGGTGCAAAATCATGTTGAAATTAATTCGCTCTTTCTTTTAACACAGGAAGGTGAAAGAATTATGTTCCTTAGCCAAGGAAACTAGAAAAAAAATTCTCTCTATTCTTTTAGATTTCGCACAGTGGTTGGGTTCATATGATACACATGAATTGATGGCTTTTAATTGTAAAGAAATGTAGGGAGCTTGAAAGAAACAGAGCAAGTGAGCTGGAGCTGTGATCAGGCAGAACAGGAAGATCCTCGTGTTTAAGGCCCAGAGATCTGTTGACCTGCCCTCATGTTGTACCCTTTCCAAACTTCCCACTGCATCTTTCCTCCTCCTCCATCTCTACTTGTCAAGCTTGATTTGATTTCAGAGTTGGAACTTGATGTGATGCTTCCACCATGTATTAATTGCCCTGGATGCTAAACACTTGATCTTGTTTGTTTCCCTGAAGTTCCTCTTTGGAAATTTACCTGTTAAAGGGATTCTGTGATTCCAATCTTGTTTCCTGCCTCTGCTTCCCCTAATCATAATGTCCAGAGTTTGCAAGCGAGTAACTTCAACCAGACTTTAATTCCTGAATACATGCTTTACTTGATAATTTAGCCTTAATCTTCTTAAGGACTATACTTCAGTAAATAATCTGGCTAGAGTGGCTTAGAAAGAAAGGCTATAATCCATTTGCCATGGATGAACACACTCCATGTGAAGCCACTCCCTTCATCTCTGCCACCCGCAGACTGGGCGGTAGGGATTGTGGGCTGCATTCTATGCCCTACACATTCCCAAGAACCTCTCAAGGCCTTGCCACAGGATATGCTCTTCTTTGCCTATGGGAAGAACTGAATTCTCTGAAATGATGTAATTAAAATGAATAAACTGCATTCTTGGTCCTCCCAAGTTTAAACATTCACCTTTTTAAAAGCGGTGGGGGCTGATTCTAATTATCTCTTTACATCCCTTCTTTATTATTGAGTTTATAGCTCTCCTCCTTAACCACCCAACATTAATAGAGGCCTTCATTGTGATTCACCAATCATCCATGTATTTATTGAGCACTAATAAATATTTTATTTTTACTACAAAGCACCATGCCAGGTGTGATGGGGAAGGGGAATGGTTACTCAGAAGTAGGAAAGTACCTTGGTCCTTTCTGCTCTCAGAAAGCTTAGCATCTAATTGGGAAGATAGCTTGTGTAGAATTTACTAAGGATTGAACAAACTGTACTGATTAAAAGTAAGACCTGAGTTTGGAGAAGGGAGAGCAGCTCATTTGGCTGGCATGGTCCAGAAGTTCCTAAGTTCACAAAGAAGTCGAAAACTTAAAGCAGGCATTGAAGAACGTGGAGAGTTCCAACAAGAAAAAAGAGATTTGTACAAGTGTCCTTGTTAGGAGTGTATTCTGTGTCTAAAGCCCATTTTCCTAAGTTGATGGTTAAATTCCTAGAACAAGACTTGATGGGAATAGTAGTCTGAGCACTTACAAATTATTGAAATACAATTGATATAGTTTAAATATTTGTCCATACCCAAATTGCATGTTGAATTATAGGAGCCAATCCCTCATTGCTTTATGCTGCCTTCTTGTCAGTGAGTTCTTGTGAGATCTAGTCATTTAAAAGTATGTGGTACCTCCCTTCATCCCCCACCTCTCCCCGCTGCTTTCATCATGTGAGGTGACTGCTCCTGCTTGGACTTCTGTCATGATTGTAAGCCTGCTGAGGCTTCTCCAGAAGCAGATGCCACTATGCTTCCTGTACAGCCTGCAGAAGAGTGAACTAATTAAACCTCTTTTCTTATACATTACCCAGCCTTGGGCATTTCTTTATAACAAAGCAAGAACAGACAAATACAAGAATATACTCACAGAAACGTACAAATAAATCTTAGGTGTACAGGTAGTTGAAGCAGCACCTAGAACAAGAAACAGTACATTACTGGAACCCCACAAACTACCTTGTGTTCCACTTTACTCATGCCTTCCAGTATCATAGACTATTTTGCCAAATCTTATGCTTTATTTAAATGGAATCATAGTGTTCACTGTTTTGTGAGGTTCATCCATATCGCATGTAGTTGAAGACTATTCATTCCATTGCTGGTAGAATCCCATTGTTTATAACTTATTCATTCTACTATTGAAAACAGTTGGTTAACTTCCAGTTTTTGACTACTACAAATAGTACCTTTTTGTTTGTTTGGGTTTTTTTGTTTGTTTGGGTTTTTTTGTTTGTTTGTTTTTTGTTTTGTTTTTTGAGACAGAGTCTCGCTCTGTTGCCCAGGCTGGGGTGCAGTGGCGGGATCTTGGCTCACTGCAAGCTCCGCCTCCTGGGTTCATGCCCTTCTCCTGTCTCAGCCTCCCAAGCAGCTGGGACTACAGGCGCCCATCACCATGCCCGGCTAATTTTTTTGTATTTTTAGTAGAGGACGGGGTTTTCACCGCGTTAGCCAGGATAGTCTCGATCTCCTGACCTCATGATCTGCCCGCCTCGGCCTCCTAAAGTGCTGGGATTACAGGCGTGAGCCACCATGCCTGGCCACTACAAATAGTACTTTTAAGAACATTTTGTTACCTGTATTTTGGTGAACACATGAAGGTATTTTTGTTAGGCGGCACATGCCCAGCTAGGATCTTGTTGAGTTATAGGGAATGCACATATCCAGCTTTAGAAAACAGCCAGACTGCTTTATAAAGTGGCTGTACCTATTTACTTTCCCATCAGCAATATGAAGGTCCTGTTTGCTCCACATGATTGCAATACTTGTATTGTCTGTCTTGTCCATTTTAGCCATACTAATGAGTTGTACACTGGTGTATTAGTCTGTTTTCATGCTGCTGATAAAGACATATCCAAGACTGTGCAATTTATAAAAGAAATACATTTATTGGACTCTCAGTGGCTGGGGAGGCCTCATGATCATGGTGGAAGGTGAAAGGCACTTCTTACATGGCAGTAGGCAAGAGAGAGAGACTTATGCAGGGAAACCCCCATTTTTAAAACCATCAGATCTCATGAGACCCATTCACTATCATGGGAACAGCACGGGAAAGACCTGCCCCCATAATTCAATCATCTCCCACCAGGTGCCTCCCATAACATGTGGGAATTATGGGAGCTGCAAGATGAGATTTGGGTGGGGACACAGAGCCAAACCATATCAACTGGTATTTCACTATAGTTTTAATTCACGTTTTTTTCCTGATGGCTAATGTAAGCACATTTTTATGTTTATGGTTATTGGACATTTGGAAATCCTCTTTTGTGAAATGTCTGTTCAGGTCTTTTGCCCATTTTTCTAATGAGTTGTCTGTCTTTTTCCTATTGATTTGAAGGAG
This sequence comes from Homo sapiens, assembly GCF_000001405.40. Taxonomy (NCBI): domain Eukaryota; kingdom Metazoa; phylum Chordata; class Mammalia; order Primates; family Hominidae; genus Homo; species Homo sapiens. The sequence goes on along the minus strand of NC_000012.12, from coordinate 71,058,017 downwards.
GGGATCTAAACATATTGTTAAAAGATCCACTTCAAAACTTTAGAGGCACATAAAAATAATTTGTTGAGCACAAGAAAGAAAAGATAGTCTCTGGAATTCATGTAGCATGAAGAAAATCTGTTGTGAAAAGAAAATCAAAACAATTTACTTTAGACTTCAAAGGATATTTTCATTCTGATATAGCATTTTAAAAATAAATCTTTTCATAACATTCTCAGCATCTCATAGTGCATGAAACAAAGCACAGCAATATAGATGTTTTATCTAGATATTTTATTAATGATTATTAAAAATATCAAATTGTGCAAAGGCTACAGTCTGACAATCTGGAAATAAAATAACAAAGAAATAATTTTAAATTCTCTAAAGAAGAAATGAAGAAAAAATTATTCTAAAATGTTGAAGTTTCAAAATGCATCTCTATTTAGATGGTGATGATATACACAGGGATATGTAGCAGATGTGTTGGCCTATTGCCAACCCTGCTTGGAGGTTTTGAATTAAGGAAAGACTGTTACATTATGTGTGAAATGCCACTTCAGTTCAGAGTCCGCCAGCAAATTGGTAATACCAACTTCATGGTCTTTTCAGACTGCTTAGTGGGAAAAGCATTTCCAGGTGCAATATCCACAAGTTTAAATTATTCTGAAGAAAAAAAGGCAGGAAATACCGTATGATCCATCTCTGGACTCTTCTAGTCTCCCTGTAGGCTGAATAACTTTATATTTCTAAAATTAGGTGGGTTTAAGAGTCACAATATTTCTCTTTCTGAAAGAAAATAAGAATTCCATTCCATTTTCAAACTGACACTACATTAAATTCTACAGGTAAAGAGAGTTGAGGTTAAGAGTTAAGTGGAGTGAAATCTCACTAGTCCACTGGGCATTCTTCCAAAATATCTTTACAAATTGTACAATTTATATCAATTTTGGATTGGACAAACTACTGTTGAAAGTTCTGCCTGTCACTCTCCTAGCTGTGATGGAAACATCATCCTCAAATATTGAACATCGATGTATGTGTGGGATGCTATTATGCAGTCTTTGAAACATTTAGAAAAGTATATTCTGTAGAGATAAGACCAAAGACAGCTCATGAGTGTGTGCTCAATGTTTGTGCATCTGGCTTTACTCTTGGTCCCTTTTTCTTTCTTGTGTAGCAAAGCAGTTTTTACTGGTTTGTGGGAAGGTCGAAAAAAGAAAGATATGAAATCTTGATACTAACAGGCAAATATGAGGACATAAAAACAAGTAATGAAGGAACAAAGATTTTCATTTCAGTCAAGAATTTTCTTATGAAACCATATAGACTTCATCCACATAATCAATACCTTATTAAGTTCATTTCTCCAAAATTTTCCTTAAATTCACACAGGAAGCTTTATAAACACACACCAAAGCACAAAACTTGGGCTGCCAGCAATACCATAGGATAAAAAAATTGAGGGTCACTCTGAAGGAAATTTTGGTTGACTTGACTAGAAGAACAGCTGGCTTTATGGATTTCATCAACTTATGTGACTTCATCAGCAAAATTTGCTTGCTTTCTTCGACGGGCTTTTGACCTATGGTGATCATCAATTTAACATCAAGGCACATGACCCAGCAGCATTGTTCTGGGACTTATTATGGAAAGAAACTAAATCAAGAAATGAGGAGTGAGGTCCAAATTAACCAAGAGCCTCATATAGAAGAGATCAGTGGGGGCTTTACGTGCTCTAACTAGGGTTAAAATGACTTAAATGTGATATGAGTAACTCAGTTACCATGTATGTTTAGGCTTTTCTGTCAGAATTGAAGCACCATCACTTTTAAATTTCATGAATAAAGAAGTACAATATTGTAGTATTATATATTGTGTTTCTTTGAGTGGTCAAGAAACATATAATAAATATTTTTCCTCATATGTATTTTTCATAGCATTTTATAAAGGGATTCTTTAAGTCATAAGATTGGTATTCATGAGTGGCTTGTGGAGACTATTATTGCTTTTAATCATGCCTGACATTTTTCTTGGGTGTGAATTTCAAGCTCTGAACATAATGTCTATATCCACAAGATAAATCAAAAAGACTGTCACTGTCTGTGCTTGATAAAGACCTCTTCAAATTAGAAAAAATAAAAAGAAAAAGAAGAAATGTGGACCAGATGCGATGACTCATGCCTGTAATCCCAGCACTTCGAGAGGTTGAAGTGGAAAAGTCACTTGAGGCCGGAGTTTGGGAACAGTCTGGGCAAGAGAGACCCCATCTCTACCAAAACAAAACGAAACAAAACCAAACCCAGAGAGACATTATGGCACATGCCTGTAGTCCCAACTACCCAGAAAGCTGAGATGGGAGAATCCCTTGAGCCCAGGAGTTCAAGGTTACAGTGCGCTGTGATTGCGTGCTATTGCACTCCAGCCTGGGCGACAGAATGACAGAATGAGACTCTGTTTCTTGAAAAAAAAAAAAAAAAAAAAAAAAACCGGGCGTGGTGGCTCATGCCTGTAATCCCTGCACTTTGGGAGGCCGAGGCGGGTGGATCACCTGAGGTCAGGAGTTCGAGACCAGCCTGGCCAACATGATGAAACCCCATCTCTACTGAAAAAAAAAAAAAAGAAAAAATTAAAGAAAAAGAAATGCAAAATTATGAGGAAATAGTTACTTGAAAAGTAACATTTTAATTATGTCTCCTGTCTCCAAGTGTTCACAGCATCAAGATCTATTCAATTTTTAATTCGGTTTTAGGCACTTTGTAAACACGTTTTAAGGTAACCAGAGATTTAGAGAAGCTAGATTTGACCATGAGTCTGAGAAAATACTAACTTCAGCTCTTTTCTTTGTGCTCAGAAAGTTTCAGACCATATCATCTCTGAAAAATAGAGGTACCGCACAGGAGTTGCCATGTTTAAAAATAAATGCCTGGCATATGTCACTCTCCTGTTCAGAAATATTTAGTAGATTTCACTTCATCTTTGGGATTGAGTCCAAACTCCTTAGTCTGATATTCAAGAGTTCCATCATCTATATTCCATTCTTATTTCCTGTTATTATCACTATTCTTTCTTAAGGTATGCTTCTTAGGTCATGTACACAACAATAAAACAAATGGGTACTTATTAAAAATGAAATTTACTCTCTCCAAATAATTCTCATACATATTAAATGCTGAGATCTCCTCTTCTAGACGAGCTCTCTGTGCCAGCAAGGGTGGTCTAACGGCCCCAACATACTTTCTTGGCTTTTATCTTTGGGCTCTGGCTCATAATGTGCAGTTCTGGCAAGCCTTTTCTTTTTATTCTATTTATCAGTCAAGACAGAACTCAATTCTAACTTCCTCCCTAAAACCATCACTGAGTGGTTTCTTTTGAACCTTATTTTTTTCTATACATAAAAGTGGATAATAATAATATAAAAAGGAAAGGATTATTGTGAGATAATGCTATCACTACAAGTAAAATCTGAGTCTCAGAGATCAGGGATGGTACTTGCCAGGGTGATATGAAATTGGGATGCAGCCTTGTGAGATTTCAAAGAAATCCATGCTCTTACATGTTGTCTCCCATGGAAACAAACGTGTTGAATGAACGAGCTGGTGAATGTTACCTCTCCCATTCATTTCTCCAGCCAGAGAAGCTCCAGATGTTTGGACTTAAAGACATTCAATGAAATCCTCATTTTTACAAGATACAAGACTTTTAAAATAAAATTTTCCCAGAAGGCTAGTGTATTAAAAAGTACAACAGGCCTGGCGCGGTGGCTCAAGCCTGTAATCCCAGCACTTTGGGAGGCCAGGGTGGGCAGATCACTTGAGGTCAGGAGATGGAGACAAGCCTGGCCAAAGTGGTGAAACCCTGTCTCTACTAAAAATACAAACATTAGCCGGGAGTGGTGTTGGGCACCTGTAATCCCTGATACTTGGGAGGCTGAGGCAGGACAATCGCTTGAACCCAGGCGGCAGACTTTGCAGTGAGTCGAGATAGCGCCACTGACAAGAATAAAACTGTGTCTCAAAAATAAATAAATAAATAAAATAAAAATAAAAATAAACCTACAGAAAATATCAGTCTTTCAGAATTTTCAGGGGTACAGCCCTCTGACTACATTTTTAAGCTCTAGGATAACTGTGAACTCCATGATTATGTTTAGATCTTTGTGAGCTTATATACATCCTGGATTTATATAGACCTAGGCCAGCATCTGTTCCAGGGGAGGGAGAAATAAGTAGGATTCAAACACTCCTCAGAGGTTTCAAGGTCTGTCTAGAATACCTAAAGCAGAAGAAAGAAGGGGAAAAGGTACTACGTAAAACTTGTTCCAGAAGGGGTTTCCAATAAATTAGTCTCTTGCCGGAAAGCAACTAACAACAATTTACAAGCACACTTCTATATACTCATGAGGGGTTGGGGACACAGACATAATTAGCAATGGGCTTGTTTAGGCTGTGGGAGATGCCCTTATCCCGAGTTTCTCAGCCATTATATTTACTCCCACAATGGCTTTCTTGTTAATAGTTTGGTTCTGCACTGTTATCTCTACATCATCCCTTAGCTTACTCCCTTTTCAGAAAAAAAGACATTGCTAAAAAGCTTTTGAGTTTCTTTCAGCTGGTTCTTTCAGTGTACTTTCCTCGGAAACTCACTTTTCTCGTTGCTTTCATTTGAAATTGCAAATTCAAAACAAATACAATTTGGACGAGAAAATTTACAAGTAACATTTTTTTGAGTGAAAAGAGAATTAATTAAAGGGAATTAATCCACAGAGAATAAGGAAGAGAGGAATTGTGCTTACTTATTAACTAATTCAGTTTTAAAAAATGGGGAAATGCTCTTTGAAGTAATCACATGTGGAAAGCACCTGAGCTCAACCTCTTGTAGTGTGAGACTACCCTACATGGTTAACTGAATATTGGAAAATATTCTTGCTAGGGGAAAATTTGCACTGACTCTTGCAGAGGGCAACAGGGCTTTTATGACAAAGGGGTCAAAGGATGCTAGGCCACTGCCCTGCACATTCAGAGGCATTACAAGTTTTCAGGTTCTAAGGGCTTTCCAAGGAGAAAAAGGAGATCATCAAGGGAATGAGGCAAGATTGAATTAAATCTGGGTGGGGATCATGTCAGCAAATGAACATATTCTCCATAGTCAGTCCATTGGATACAAACATGTTCTTGGGCTCCTGGAACTAGGAAATTAGATTCACTTATTGAGATACAGGTTTGTTTGGACCTGGGATTTCTCTATCATGAAATGAAAAGAGAGGCACAGACTTAGAAGAAACTTTCAGCTTATTTGAACCATTTCACCCCCCCTCCTTTCCACCCTAAAATTTCTCATCTAGTATATTGTATTTTTTAATTTCTAGAATTTCTACCTGTTTTTTTTCCCAAATCATCTTTTTTCTTCCTTCCTCTTCTTCTCCTCCTTCTTATCTTTCTCTCTTTCCTCCTCTGTCCTTTCTGTGTTTTTAAGGATTCTATCCCTTTGTAAATTCATTTATTTAAAGTCCCTTTCATAGTACTTAAAACCTCCAGTTCCTTGGTGGTGAGCTCTTCCATTTCTTTTACATACTGATGACCATGTGCAATGACGTGTTCTGTAATTTTGTGTGTAGTTCTCCATCAGCGGAGGCACAGAATGTGGATGTGATGTTATGGAACAGTTCTTAGATGCGCCACATTTGCAGGCTACATTTTCATGCTGGTGCCTTGGTTTAGTGTTTCTAATATTGCATGGATAGTGAATATTTGGCTCTGTACTTCTGCAAAGTATGGCTTGTGGTTCCATTTGGTTTTTGGTTTTGGTGAGCTTTTCTGTTTCCATTCATAACTCTAGATGAAAATTTCTCTTTATGCGGCAACCATGGGATAGCCTGTAGAGATTTCCCAATCTCCATGCTGTGCACGAAGCTTACAGCTGGGATCCTGTTTTCTGGACAGGTTTAGAACTCTGAACCCCAGGTCTCTATTCAGTTCCAGGACCTCCTGAGGGAGCCTCAGTTCCTATTTCCAGCTTAGATTATGGGTTCCTTCTTCATTCAGGTACCTGTATATTTATTTTTATTAATTTGAGTTTTGCTTTGTATGTAAGTAATTTTTTTACATAATTTTAAGTTGATTTAGAAAAGGGAGTGAACTTCTGTATCTACAGTAATGGCTTTGTTGGAGGTCCTGGGGTCTCATACTACTTAGCAGTCATCAGCCTAAAGCATAAGTGACCGTGATAAAGAGGACATATATATGAGTTTTGGAATCTGATAGACTTCAGCTGAATCTTTGTTATGGACTGAATGCTTGTGTTCTCTTCCTGAAATTTATATATTGAAACTTAACCCCTAGTGTTGGCTGTTTTTAGAGATGGGGTTGCTAAGAAAGTATTTAAGTAAGTGAAGTAATAAGGATGGGGCTCTGATTTAATAAGATTAGTGTCCTTATAAGAAAATACACCAGAGAGCTTGTCTTGTCCCTCTACATGTCCTCATCTTCACACAATGAACTCACTTAGGAAAGGCCATGTGAGGACACAGCAAGCCAGAAGAGAAGAGAGCCCTCACCAGAAACTCAATTGACTGTAGCCTTGGTTATAGACGTCTAGCTTCCAAACTATGAAAAAATACACTTCTGTTGTTTAAGCCACCCAGTCTGTGACATTTTGTTATGGCAGCCCAAGCTGACAAATACAATCTTGTTTTCTTTATCATCTATGGTATCTACAGTCAGTGACTAAGGTCTGTGGGCCTCAGTTATGTCAACCATGAAAACAGTCTAATACCATCCAACTCCAGGGGCAGTTGTAAGTATTAAATGGAAGAAATGCACACAAAAATTTCTAGTATAATCCTAACATTTTGGGAGGCCGAGGTGGGTAGGTCACTTGAGGCCAGGAGTTTGAGACCAGCATGGCCAACTTGGCAAAACCCCATCCCTACTAAGAAAATACAAAAAATTAACTGGGTGTAGTGGCACGCACCTGTGGTCCCAGCTACTCAGGTGGCTGAGGCAGAAGAATCACTTGAACCTAGGAAGCAGGGTTGCAGTTCAGCCGAGATCATGCCACTGCACTCCAGCCTGGTACAGAATGAGACATCATCTCAAAAAAAAAAAAAAATTATAATATGTAGCAGAAGTGTAATAAACTTTACCTTACCTTTCCCTTCCTTACGGCTGGGCATCTCCAGAAATGGGGGCCCACTATACCCTCAGGTAGCCAATTTTATTTTTAAACACCTCTGATTTTTTTAAATCCCATCTTCTGATTATGCCATTTGTTTTCTTATATCTCTTGATAGTACGGAGGGGATGTTTGGAGACCACTAAAACAAATTCTCTCTTTTATTTGCCCTGTTGATGTACGATTTTGCTTCTCAGTCATTTTGCAAGCCAGCACCCCCAGGCAGTGATGCTTCACCCAGGCCTCGCTCCACCACGCTTGTGTGCCCCAGCTCACTGGTGTTATAACTTGTACGTGTGTTCAGTGGTTCCTGAGCTCTTGTATTGTGCCCAAGAAGAATAAGGATATGCTGGACATTGAAGGGTGAGGAGGGCGGAGAAGAATTTTATTGAGTAACAGAACAGCCTTTTGTGGCCTTTTATGGACTCAAAATGGGGAGTGCATGCTGATTGGTTTGTGAGTATGCAAAAAAGGTTAAAGTGAAGACACCACTCAAAGGTGGGGCACGACACTGTAGAAAACCAATTAGGAAAGGGCAGGTATATGTAAAATAAGTGAAGGGTAGGGATCAATTAGAGGAAAGCATGTCAAATGGGAAGACAAGTTCTCAATCCGGTTTGAGCTTGGATTTCAGGCTTTAAACTGCCTTTGGCTTGGAGGTGGGGTTTCACCAAGGACCTGCCCCTACCTGCCTAGGCATTTGGCTGCCTCCTGCCGCTCTCACTATTTCTGAGCCAATAGAAAAGTAAAGCTCAGGTGTCAGATAGGCATCAAAACATCAGCTACACTTGTAAAGGTGGATTGGTGGAAGCAGTTGAGATAGCACCTACATGGATTCCCAGCACTCACTTCCCAATACTCGATTCCCAAGCAGTTCAGATAGCACCTACATGGATTCCCAATACTTGACATACTTAACCCCTGGGTCACAGCCTCTTTCCCCCCATAGAGGTCAGGGGCTGCCTTAGGAACAAAGCCAAGAAAGCCTCTCCACAGGGACATCTAGAGGAAATACAGAAGGGCAGAACTGAGCATGCTTAGTTCTTGCTCCAGATTTACTAGCTGGATAAGTAATTTCTTCTCCCTTGGTGAGGAGGGAGGGAGAGATGGACTTGGGAGAAGGAGGGTTGGACATGTTACCTCAATACCCTTCCTGCCTGGGTGTAGAGGCTCCCACATGGAAACATTAGAAGAAAAAAAGAGTTCTCCTAACCATCATTTCAGTTGCCAAAAGTAAAATGAGACTTAAAAATGAAGGACAATGCTAAAGCCCAACATGTTGCGTACATGTTTGAAGGTGAGTCCCAAAGGAAAACCTGACACTCTAAGGGAATACACAGTAGAACTTCAGCAACGTGAGGTCGGTGGGCATCAGACCTCAGGAAACACAGGTAGCAGGGAGGAAAATTGGCAGGGATTAATAAAAGCGGATTGAAACCACAGACAGGTAAGATTTGTGTGCAAGTCTATGAGAAGGAGAGACATACTGATGAAAGGCTGGAGGAAGCAACCACTGCCTAACAAAAATGAATGGAGAAAAGTGAGGTGGAGATTAAAAAAAAAGTAAATGAAAAGATGAGATGGAAAATTTGAAACATAAACTGTAAAAAGGTAAGGAAAGATAATCTTGCTGGAGCAGTAGTTTTTATATATGTGTAAGGGACAATGTAGGAATTTCAAGGATAAATTAAATTAGTGTAAATTTAGTTCATGTTGGAAAGAAATATGTCAACAACTAAAAGAAGTTAGGCTAAAAGAAAGTAAACATATTTATAAAAATTTGAAATATCCCCCTGTCTAAAAGAAAGTAAACATATTTATAAAAATTTGAAATATCTCCCTGTCATCTTATTAATTTGTCACCTCAGCATGGATATTAAAAATGGATCTGCAAAGATACAGTAGTTAGTGTCTCCCACATTTTGTATCATTTTCATTGAATGGAATTTGTCATCAGTTGTAAACAATTATTTTATGTATTACAAAGAAAGAAAAAAAATGCTGCTAATTAAATTCAGATAAAAGTTGCTATCAGATTGCAAGATGCTTCGAGATCTCAGAAATGGTAAAATGTGAAAAAAATACATTTTAAAATTAATAAAATACAGTTTTTTATTTTGTTCATAGCATTTATCAGAAGTTGAAATGATCTTATTTATTTATTGCTTCTATTTTCTATCTTTCTCCTTTGGACCTGAAGCTCCTCGAAGGTAGATACTTTGCTTTATTCACATCTATATTCTCTGTCTAGGAGAGTATATGCACATAACAGGGACTATCCTTTGATGGCTGGCTATTGTTGTATACAAGGGAGGGATAAGAACCTGAGAAAAAGCTGGAATTCACTTGATGCCATTAAGCCACCCACTCAAGAAGGGTATAAATCCTAAATTTATCTCTCTCTCAAAGATATTTTTAGTTGTCCCCCTCTTAGTAGCAGAGAGTACACCTTACCCCATCACCAATACACACATTATCTTCCATTACTTGGATTATTCCTCCATTTTATTGGGGGGTATAGTCTAGCATTATTAGGGGTTATAGTCTAACATTGGTGAGTATTATCACCATTATACATCGTTGAAATACCTTGAAGATCCCCTGAGATGTTGAATACTAATAACATCTCTCAGCAATTCAAGCAACAGTCATGTTTTCCCCCAGGTTAGGAGCAGATCATTTTGATTCTTTTGATGAGCACCAGATAAAAGAAGTGGCTTTTACTTAGAAGTCATGCATATGAAGAAATATGTATCTCTAAATCCTAAAGTCAGACACAGTGTGGAGGGATACTTCCAGGGTGGAATGCAGGCCCGGAGGCCAACTTGAGAAGGAGCCAGTCTGGACTCCATTACAGGGACACAGGCTCATTGAGTGCAAGGCTGGCGGAATCGCATGCAGTATTTAGATGTTATTTCTACTTTCTTTCTCTTTCTTTATGTGGGTAGTGGAAGTAGAGTATGTCCTACTATGTCCTAAGTGCACAGGTTGCCACTCCATGTGATACATGCAGGAGACAAACAGCAGTGAGTCCCAGGTGAAACCCCACCTTTAAGCTGAGAAACCTGAAACCCACAGCCCAAAGTGAGATCTTCTATTCCTGTTTGCCCACTCTCTCCCAATTGGTTCTTACTGAATAATGCCTTTTTGCCAATCTAATATTGCCTTTTCCAAAACTACCTACAGCCTGCCCTGCCCTCCCTCCTGTGCCTATAAAGACTCCAGACTCGGTAGAGGGAAGAGAAGCAGCTTGACTGGACAGAGGTGACTTGACTTCAGAGGGATGGCAGGACTTTGGAGGAGAGACAACTTGACTTTGGAGAGACTGCTTGACTTCAGGGAAGAGCTGACCTGAGACAGCTGAACTTTGGGGGAAGATTACCTGCCTGTCCTGTCCCCTCTCCAGCTCTCCTCTCCACTAGAGCCATTTCCATTGCTAAATAAAATTCTCCACTTCCACCATCCTTCAAGTGTCTGGGCGACTTCATTCTTCTTGGATGCCGGACAAGAGCTGGGGACCTAATGAGTGTGGGTACCCAAAAAAGACTGTCACACTGGTCCTTTGATCTTGATGGCAGAGGGCAGTCACCCCATGTGAGGAGGCAAGGGGCCCACTGAGCTGATAACACATCACAAACACACCACTGAGCTGTTTGTCCACAAACAGCAGAGCTAAGGGAGCATTGTAACATGCCTTCTGAGGCTTTGGGGTCGCAGGCACCCTGCTGCAGGGCCTGCATGGAGTTTGCTTTTGTTGTTGCCCAAAGCAGCTGGCCAGACCCTGCACTCACTTTCTCACATGCTCCCTCCCAGAAGGAGTTGAGTGCAATGGCCCAAGTAAATAGGGTGCCCCCATTGCAAGTCCAACGAAGGGGTCAGGAAAAATCCTGGATCACATGGAACATGTTTATCTTACTTTGAATGCATGCTGGTAAGATCTTCTCTTTAATGAAGCTGATTCCTATGGCTTGCGCTGGATTAATCCGGAGGAAATCTCTGGGGATAGGGAAGCTCTGGATTTGGCTATATGAACATTGCAATTCCTAAAATGCTCTTATTCTCACCAGGAAAATAATATCACTAAGGTTCTTTGCATGTTTTTTGTTATTCTATTCACCCTTTAGTTCTGGGAACCCTAAAGAACCATTTGCTACTTCTGACAGTCGGGAAGCCACTGATACACAGCAGGTAAGATACCCTCAGACCAAAGCCCATGGTGGCCAGAAAAGTTCAGTTCCTGGACCAAGGGCCCAACAGTCATTCATTCATTGTGAAATATTTCTGCAGTATATGTTCATGGTATTGATATCATCACAATGTGTTATTTATTGAGTGCCATCTCTTCATGTTGGGCTATGTGGAACACATACCAGACTGGGCTTTTCTCCAAGGAAATGGAAATGGAATTCAGATGGTCATGATTCATGAGATAATATAAAAGCTAGTCATGTTGTTCAAACATAGTTTGCAATGAGATCAGCCTTGGAAGGCTCAGATAAAGGAAGAGTTTGATAAGAGAGGAAGGAGGGAAAGTTGCTTAGCCCTAAGGGAGCAAGATATTTTCAGGTATGGGGTACACCATGAAGGTCAGCACCAAAAGGAATAAAAAGGTGAGAGATGGAGGAGAGAATGCCAGGATCATATCAGTCATCAGAAAGGAGCCTTGTGGGAAGGAGCAGAATGAGAACAAGTGACCCAGCCCAGAGTTGTGTATTTGTGGTTGTATCTTGGTGCCATGTGCTGTTTTTCCGGGGGCAGGCTGAAAGAACATTTCCTGCCTTGTTAAGGGAAGTGACTCCACAAGGCTGTCCAGTCCAGGACAGGAGAAGAGAGTCATATCACATCTGTGCTGCTTTTTAATCTCTGCTTGGTTTTGTTTGTTCAAGTTAATGAAAATGATGTGCTGTTGTTGTGTAGTGATGCCAGAAAAAGCTTCACCAGAGACTTCAAAAATGTTTTTGGTACTGTGCCCATTTTATGTGGTTTCACTTTCCTCTGTCTTCTGTCCTCTCTGCTCTTTCACTCTCCCTTCCCCTGAAGCCCTTCTCTGATGCTAGTGAATTAATATTATGTGACTGGAAGGATGTTTGAAGAGAATTCAGGCTAAGCAGGCAAGGCAGCCCACAAAAGACAAAGTGATGGAAACATCTAAGGGTGAATGGAGTTATTATCATTTATAGTAGACCTATTTGTAGAACCATCCAATAGGAGCATGTAACTTACAGTTCCTCAAATTCATAGCTGGGGCTGATGAATTAGGATAAATATACCTCCATCTGGGAATAATTCATTGTAATTTATAAACTCCTTGAGGAAAGGAACTATGTCTTCACCTTCCTCAGTCAGTCCCCTGGGTACCATTGAATCTGTTTTGTCCATATAGTCTTTCAAAATTTATTAAGTATTAGGCACTGTGCTAAGGCACTGTGAGACACAAGAAATAATGGTAAGGCATCCTTACCCTCATGGAACTTAAAACCTTGGGAAAGAGGGTAAACAAGATAGAATGTGGTATCTGTGCTCAATAAGGTAAAATCAAAGAGTTTGGGGATCTTACTGATAAGGGGTATATATCTCTAAGGATTCCCAGTACCAACTGACAGAAACTCTACTGAAGCTGACTTAAAACACAAATGAGAATTTACTGGCCTCAGTCAACTGCAGAGTAAAAAGTAGCACTAGGTTTAGGCTGATCAGGTATTCAAACGATCTACCAGGTATCAGTCTTTCTATATTATTTTGACTCTGCCTTCCTATCAGTTGGGCTAATCTCAAGAAAGACTCTATCCATGTTGTAGCAAAGATAACCATTGGTAGCTCCATATTTAGGCTATACCACCAGAGTAAGAGTAGCAACAAAAGAGTATATATTCCAAAGAATTTCCAGCAAAACTCTCAGGGCTTCCTCTTGCGGGAGCAACTTTGGTGAAGTGCCTACACATTATTATTGTTGCCAGACAAATGAAGTAGACTGATCGGTGAGGCTTAGGTCATGTGCCGCTTCCCTGGAATGTAAAGGGTAGAGTCAGGTCCATGCAAATCACAGGACTCAGAGTGAAGAATAGGCATTTTTTCAAGTGAAAATCAGGGTTATCAGAACAAGAGGGCATGAATGCTGGGTACATGAAAGCAACAGTGCTTCAGAGCTATCCCAAAAAATTGGTGGAAATTTATGAAGGAATAATTGTGACTCCCCAAAGATATATGAGTTTGAGAGATGGACATGAGGACTGGGGGAAGATAAATTCCAGTCCTTTCACTTGCACATAAAAGAGCTTAGTCACATGGGCACACCTAAGTGCAACAGGGGGCTGGGCAATGTAGTTCCTAGCTGTGCCTTCATAACACCACACTAGAGTGAGACCATAGAGTCTGATGAACAGACTCTATTGTTCCCATTACAAGGGGGAATTTAGGGAGGTGTTGGGATTTTTAGAGGAGTTGATGGTTGAGGCGACGTCTGAAAGAAGAGTAGGAATTAAGCAGAGAAGGAGTGGGTGGTAAGGTGAGAAGGGTGGTAAGGTGCATGTGTGTTCCACATTTGGGCTGGAGAGGCAGTGATCTAGGGAGAAGTATATACAGGTTTAATTACAGGTATGAGTGGAAGGATTTACACCCAAGCATTAACACTGTCACTTTAGGAGTAAGGCAGGAAGAAGAGAAGAGGAAGATCACTATTTTTTTTTAACTTGACACAGTAAACTTGTATTGCTGTTTTAACATTTTAGTCCTGTAAAATTCAATGAGAGATTTGCAGAAAGTGGTACCTAATATAAAAGATGTTTAGATTTGAAAGAGAACTTGGGTATTATTCCTAGAAGCTGAGAATGATATAGTAACTTTGTAAAATCTCATTCAAAATAAACAAATTTTGAGATCCGAATGCAAGTTAACTGGTTAATTTGTTTAAAAGTATGTGGTTTTATAGTTGCCCTCAACCATCATTTATATTTTCCCCAGATTTTCTTTGTGTGAATAACTGCTATTCATTGAGCATGCACTGAGCACCTGGCACAGTGCTGGGCCTTAGAAATACAGCAATGAACATGGCATTTGTGAACTCTGGACTCATAGAGCTTCAGTTTGGCTTTAATTTGTTCATTAATGTCTGTCAACTAATGAAGGCAATGTAAATAATATATAAACTCTCTAAGTTTCAGGTTCAAGATTCCTAGAAAAAAGTTAAATTTGAAACCATTCAGTTATGGTTTCCCAGCTATCCAGTATCTGAGGAGTAACTTCGCTAATGTTCTATTCACTTGGATGCAACATGATATTATTTCTACCTGAAATCATGTCATATGGCAAAAACAACCTCATCCTAAATGATCTATCTTTCAGTGACTTTAGGTGTATCTTAGAACAATATTAGTCTTAAATTAGAAAAACAGAAAAAGAAACAATAAGTTTGGGATTATCCAATTAACTCCTCGTAGCTTTGTCTTCCCCAAGAGTAAATGTCAGTAGTAGTGTTCTTGTGGGGTGTTCTAAGTTTTTATTCTTTTTATTATTTTAAAACAAACACTGAAGGAGATCTATACCAACTTTATTGTGGCCTATGATTTTATAAGCTACTTTAAGATTTCTCCAGAGCTTTGTTTAAAATTTAAAGGACATAACAACTCATTCAGATAAAAGATGGGGGCACTGAAGTGGGATGGCAGGAATATTTATTTAAATACTTTTACCTGAAATAGGCTTATATTCGAATTGGATGAATAAGGTTGTTTTTTCTGGATCCTTTCTTAATCTGATGATAGGAAAAAGGTAGATCTGATAACAGATTTTTAAAGAGCTAATTACCTTTCAAATGCCTTAGTTCTCTAGCTGAACACTTCTCCCCCAGCTAAGGCAAGGTAGTAAATTAAACATTACTTGATAAATAAGTCTTTGAACTTTCTATCTATAATTTATTGCAATGAAGCAGAAAAACAGATCTGTACTCAGTTGGTGAGAAGGCTTTTATATGGTTGATGGTTCAGTTTCATAATTTACTTTTATGGTAAAAAGACACACTGAAGTAATCTCTCTCTCTGATTATTTCTTGGCATCAATGAACACTTTTGTTTTCTCAAAAACAATTCTATCAGTCATTTAAAAAAATTGGACCCTACATGCAATTCTGGACATAAAATCAACTCTGAACATTTGGCTTCTGTACTCCCAGTTAGTAATATCTTCACAAGATTTAAAAATATGTATTTGAGAGTAACCTTCAGGTGCAGCTGGCAGTAAGCAGATATGTCTTCATATGCTGGGAAAACAAGAGAGGGTGGAGGGGCAATGAAGTGGCAATAAAGAAATAGGTCTACCAGAACTTATTCATTCATTCACTTATTCTTTCATTCCACAAATATTTACTAAGTGTTTGCTACATATAGACACTGCTGCAGGTGCTGGTAATTAAAAGTGAATAAGATAGACATTATTGCTGTAATACTGTTGACACAGGCTAGACAAATATTAATCAGAAAAATCTTATTTGATACCAGTGGTGATCTATACTATGATGGAAAACTTATAAGGAGATTATATGACAAAGAGGTCTAACCTGGTCTGGGGAATCTAGGCTTCCAGGGGTAAGTGACATTTAAGCAAAAATCTGAAAAATTAATGGAAGAAATAAAAGGAGGGACACGGGGAAGGGGTCCAGACAGAGAGAACAGCATGTGCAAAGGACTAGAGGCAGAGACTGGTGCATTTGAGGGGCTAAGAGGTAGTAGATTACTTTTAAATTTTTGAGTCCATTTTCCTGCCTCCACATGAAACCCACTGTCATCCATCTAGTTGTCAATCTGACATCTTCTGGATGTCTAACAGATGGCTCAAACTCACCGAGTACAAAATAGAGATCTTGATTCTACTCCAAAAGCCTGCTCCTTCCCTAGCATTTGCCATCTCAGCATCACCATGTACTTGGTTGCTCAGCCCAAAAAACCTTTAAACCTCAGCTCTTCTTTTGCTCTCACATCCACATTTAGTCCCTCAGCAAATCCTACTGGCTGTGCAGTTAAAATATCCTGAATATAGCTGTTTTTCAACAGCTCCACCACAGCTGCCTTGGTATAAATCACCGGTGTGCCTCACTTGGCCCAAGGCAAGAGCTTTCTGACTTCTCTCTCTGTCTCCACACTTGGTTCTACCTGATACTGTATTATACATTCCATATTTGTTTGCTTTGTTGAGGTCATAGTCCTTATTTCTTTTGCATATTGTTCTAGTACCTGGAAAAGTTTATGACCCATTACAGGTACTCAATAAATAGTGTGGAATGAATGTGTAAAAGCCAGGATGGCTGATTGATATAGTATGGTTATTTGTCCCTGCCCGAATCTCATGTTGAATTATAATCCCCAATGCTGGAGGCAGAGGCTGGTGGGAGGTGTTTGGGTCATGGGGCATATGCCTCATGGCTTGGTGCTGACTTTGTGATAGTGAGTGAGTTCTCGCAAGATCTGGTCGTTTAAAAATGTGTTGGATTTCCTCCCTCCTTTCTCTCTTGTTCCTGCTTTCACCGTGTGACATGCCTGCTCCCCCTTTGCCTTCTGCCATGATTGTAAGCTTCCTGAGGCCTCCCTAGAAGCTGAACAGGTGCCCACGCCATGCTTCCTGTAAAGCCTGCAGAACAGTGAGCCAATTAAATCTCTTTTCCTTGTAAGTTACCCAATCTCAGGTATTTCTTTATAGCAATGTAAGGACAACCTAATACACTGATATATGGTAAATGAGGAGAGGCATGGTACAAAATGAGATGGAGAAGGTAGAGGTTTTTAAAATAGGCAGGGCTTTGTAGGCCATCTTAAGAAGTTTGGACTTTCTTCTCAGAGAAGTAAGAAGCCATTGAAGATTATAAGAAGTGGCTGTAATACAATCTGATTTAGGTTTTAACATTTTTCAATGAAATTGTGAGCTTGAATGTTTTATTATCCTCATGAACAGGTTCAATGGGCCCATCACTTACTCATCTATTTTAATTGTTTTATGTAAATATGCTTAACAGAAAAACACTTTGTGTGAGATTAAAAATGACTCTTTCTATGGAGACAAATAACCTGATAATTATATCATTTTTACTTTAGATGGGCAGTAACTAGTATGTAATTTTTAGAATAAAACATTATTTTTTAAGAATTAAAATTGTATTATTGCCAAAATATATTTCCTTATACTTTTATATATTATATTAAGCCTTGATAGACTCAGTTTACTTACATCCTTATGAAGATAGTAATTCAAATAGAATGGCTACTTTGAGTTAGGGGCCAAAAAAAAGCCTGTGGAGATTTTGAATGGAGTCTGCTCCACAGCTTGGCACAGCATTCTCCAAATTTTATTCTAAACACTATATTTCCCCAAGATATTCAGAGGTGCTTGATGTAACTGGGATTCTGGTGCCAGAAAAGCCTCAGAAAGGATGGACTACATGAAATTACGTGCGTTTAATTCAGGACTTCAAGATCCTATAATTTGCTAATAAGCACTCTGAATCCCCCAGAGGGGAACGTAGAATGCAGCATTTCTCACTCTTTTTCACAGAACACCTGTTCTGCAGTGTATTAGTTCATTCTCACACTGTTTTAAAGAAATACCTGAGACTGGGTGCTTTATAAGAAAAGAGGTTTAATCGACTCACGATTCTGCAGGCTGTACAGGAAGCATACGGCTTCTGTTTCTGGGAAGGCCTCAGGAAACTTACAGTCATGGTGGAAGGCAAAGGGGAAGCAGGCACTTCACATGGCCAGGAGCAGGAGGAAAAGAGATGGGGGAGGTGCCACACACTTTTAAACAACCAGATCTCATGAGAACTCACTCAGTCTACAGTACCACTGCACAGTACTAAGTGGGGAGGTGCTAAACCATTCACGAGAACTCCGTCTTCATGATCCAATCACCTCCCACCATGTCCCACTTCCAACACTGGGGCTTACAATTTGACATGAGATTTGGGCATGGACATAGATCCAAACCACATCATGCAGAGCACGGTTTGGGAATTGCTGATGAGCAAAGGCACAAGGAATGATGGGTAACTCAGGATACTAGCAGGCCCAGCTTCAAGGGCATGGACCGATGCAAGCCTATGGGGCTCAACTCTCAAAAGGAGCCCTGTGTCTGGTTTAGTACTCTGCTGTCACCATCTTCAAATTTTTCATAACTTTTTAAGTATTTAAACTTGTGTTTTATAGGAGAAGTCCTAAGGGACCCTGGAGCCTGCGAAATAATAGAGGGGTTACACTGAGTCGCAGCATGTGCACAGGAGGGCTCAGGCAAGCTTGTACAGAGCAGTTGCTCAGGCTCCCTGTTGTGTACATGCACTGGGGCAGTCAGGGCACGATGGGAGCCCAAGTGGTTGGCTGATTCTGGTACCTGGGTCCACATTGGTGGTGTCTATGAATGCATCAGGAACAGATGCATCTGCAGTGATGACAGCACTCCAGGACCCAGAAAAGAGGAGGGCTCTGCCTGGGGACAGCTAGGGGACTCAGGTGGGAAGCCAACTTGCCAGTCATTTCTCATAGCCAGTCCTGTCTCTGTGGCATCTTTGAGGCCTGAGCATCGGGACAGGAACTGCTGGCACCCAGGCTGTAAATGTGATCAGTGAATTATTATGAGATAAAAGTGTACACCTGGATAGTCCAAAAAATATATCATGGGGTTACTAGAATTCTTCAGATTTTAGAACCTCTACTTTTGAAAACTGCTGAATCATTGCAAAGCAAATACTGTGTCCATAGGCTTAGAAATAGAAATGAATTTAAAGATAGTCATAGTCATTGGAAAACAACACTATTTTCATATAAAGCTGTGGATGAACCAATTGAGAGGAAAACAACTTTTAAAATTTTTTATAGTTGAAGATACAGTGATAGAATATGTAAAGAAACATTTTGTACTATATACAAATCATAAAGAAACTTTCCCCTTCCTTCCTTCCTTTTCCTTTCTTTTCTTTTTTCTTTTCTTTTCCTCTCCTCTCCTCTCTTCTCCTTTCTTTCTTTCCTTCTTTCTTTCTTTCTTTTCTTTCTTTCTTTCTTTCTCTTTCTTTCTTTCTTTCTTTCTTTCTTTCTTCTTTCTCTTTCTTTCTCTCTCTCTCCCTCCCTTCCTTCCTTCCTTCCTTTCTTTCTTTCTTTCTTTCTTTCTTTTTCTTTCCCTTTCTTTCTTTCTTTCTTTCTTTCTTTCTTTCTTTCTTTCTTTCTTTCTTTCTTTCTCTCTCTCTCTCTCTCTCTCTCCCCCTCCCTCCCTCCCTCCCTCTCTCTCTCTCTCTCTCTCTCTCTCTCTTTCTTTCTTTCTTTTCTTTCTTTCTTTTACTCAGAATCTTGCTTTTGCTGCCCAGACTGGAGTGCAGTGGTATGATCACAGTTCATTATTGCCTCAACCTCCCAGGCTCAAGCAGTCCTCCTGCCTCAGCCTCCCAGGTAGCTGGGATCACAGGCACATGCCACCACACCCAGCTAATGTTTAAAAATTGTTGTAGAACTGGGACCTCACTATGTTATCCAGGCTGGCTTCAAACTCTTGGGCTCAAGCAATCCTCTCACCTCAGTCTCACTAAGTGCTGGGACTACAGGTATGAACCACTATGCCTAGTCTCAATTTCTTGCAAAAACACCACAAGTTACAAGAAATGTCAGAAGAAATATTAAAATGCCATTGTATAAATTTACATTTGCAACTAAATTCAGACTTATTTTTTGAAGAAATAAATCTTTCTGAAAAATTGTTCCACAGAATCATTAGCTCTAGATGTGTTAAAATTTATATTCTGAAATAATTTATCTGAATTTTATCCCAATGTTGTCAGAGTCTATAAAAAATATTAACAGCTCTAGTAGCAGTAGCATCTGAAAAAAGATATTTCTCAAAATTAAAAATTATCAAATTATTTGTGATATTGCATTTGCCAAGAGTGCCAGATATCATTTTCCATTATGTCAATTGAAAATGAAGTTGCTAAAAGAATAATTTTAATGACCTAAAAATAAGTTTTCAGCAAACCAAGCCAAAAGATTTCTACAATCAATATATCATACTAATAAAATTAATTTTTGTTATATGATATAGAATTATAACACAAAAATGTTTATTCAATTTCTAAGTTTATGTTGTTACTCATTTATCACTTTTACCCTTATAACATCTTAAAAATATTAACATATTTTTAAGGTAGAACTTAAAGGTAAAGGTAAAGAGCTTTTAAGGTAGAACTTTTGCTTTTAGATCTACTTTTTTCCTGCTCTTTGAACAGGGGTCTCACATTTTCATTTTGCACTGGGCTTGGCAAATTATGTAGATAGGCATGGACACTAGATGTGAACTGATGAAATTAAGTGATTCAAACTACTGTTCCTCAAAGGGTGTTTGAGATGTTTTACAAGAAATGTCAGGATGGCAGACTAATGCAAGATTTGTTTTAGATTTGGATTCTACAGCAAAAGATACAGTTTCCACCAAATAAGCTTTAAAATCCTTCCCACTTTCATAGCAAGCTAGGATCCTAGAAGGCCATGTAGGCCACTTGCAGAGAACACAGAAGATACCAAGAAGAATGTACATAGACGGACTTGTCAACAAAATTATTGCATCCATTGATTCCCTTTAAGAATTAGAATAGTCAAGGTCAATTCCTGATGGTGGAGGGTCTCCAATACTCCAAAAGAATTTCTATAAACGGGAAGAAGTATCTATTGTATTGGGGTACTTCTAAAATGTTAAAAAGGATAACTTATACCTAAAGCCTGAGACCATGTGAGTTTTTTTGTGTGTTGTTTTGTTTTATGTATTTTTTGGGTGTATTTATGTGTGTTGGGGGTGTGCTGTGTGTGGACATGGCAGTGGTAATTGTGCTGAGATGAGCAACGTTGGAGAGAATGACTCGTCTGGGGAGATTACAGGACAACATCCCATGAAGGATCTGATAGGCCTCAGTATGGATTTGGGGCTTTATTCTAGGGAATTCAATAGTCTTATAATTCTGGAAGCTAAAATGCACAGTTCTTTCAATAATCTTTCTGCTGATAACATGACATAAAATGAATAGCTTCTACAGCATATTTCAGCCACAGTTTAGAAAAGAGAGTTGTTGATTGATGATGTCATTTTTGAGAATTGAGAGGTTTGAGGAGAACTATAGCTTCCTTACATTGAGAAGAATTTTCGCAGGTCATTTCCCATTGGAAAAATTAGGTCATGTCTTTGTTCTAAGAAAGCCCCATGCTTTATGGCTTATTTCATTCCCTTTGATGAATTGATTAAGTGCTTTGAGCAGGCAACCAGAGAAGGAACAATAGGCCTGGGTAGATAAAAGGAATGACTTTAATGTTATGATTCTGTATTGAGGAATGTTTTCCCAGATACAATACAATATAGTAGATCATGCAACCTCAATGACTACTGATAAATTTTGTTTTGAATGTGACCATTGAATTTTAAAATCCAGATACAAGAAACAGGACCTGTAACTCAAGACAATTAAACAAATTTAGGGGCATGTCCTGAGGACTTAAAGTATTATTATTATTATTATGCTTTAAGTTCTGGGGTACTTGTGTAGAACGTGCATGTTTGTTACATAGGTATAAACGTGCCATGTTGGTTTGCTGCACCCATCAACCCATCATCTACATTAGGTATTTCTCCTAATGCTACCCCTCCCCTAGCCCCCCGACCCCCAACAGGCCTCAGTGTGTGATGTTCCCCTCCCTGTGTCTATGTGTTCTTAAAGAATCTTTAAATTTGCAAACCTGACTAGCTCATTGAATTTCTCTCCTATAATGCAATAAACTATAATTTGAAACTATAAAATAACATTTTCAATCCTTAACTAAATATTCCATTCTAAACTTCTATGTAATTTTGGCCAAGAGCCATCATTTTAAAGTTTTTCTTGATTTTTGTTTCATTACCATAATCAGCACTAGTAATTGACTCTTTTCAGGGCCATATTCCACCACAAAACAAAACGTATTACTTCTCAAGAATTGCCAAATAAACAGTAATGGGTAGAATTGGAAAGCAAAGGTAAATGCTTATAAAATTGAGTCAGTCGATATAAATAGAAAAGGGGAATTTTTATGTTTAATTGTGGATTTAGATAACTATGCTTTTACTATAAAAACATAATAATCCAAGCATAATAATAAATGGTAGCCAATCCTGGCCTCATTTGGAAAACAGTAAGGAATGGTAAGGAGTGCAGCAAACTAAAGAGAACATATCCAGCTAATTCTTGCCATGTGGGAATTTTTTTAAGGGAAGATTCAATTTTTTTCTTTTTTTTCTTATATATATATGTGTGTGTGTATACCTATATATGGGTACGTGTGTGTTTATGTGTTTATATATACATATATATATAACATCTATATAAATATATGTATATATAAGTTCTTTCAGTGTTTAAACTTTGGCTAGAATGTTAAATGCCATTTCAAACAAACAAAATATGTCAGTAGGCTGATTAACTCCAAAGGCAGCCAACTTGTGAACCTTTGAGTATAAAATACTTAAGCCCCATTGAGATGCTTTGCTAGGCAGTTTTCTAGACCATTGTTCTCCAAAGAAGGGACGCCTGGGGGAAGGGGAGAGTGGTAGAGAGAGGGTGTGCTAAAGATGTTTTATTAATAGGGAAAAGCAATAAAGAAGTTTAGATCCCCCAGCCATGCTAGACACAACAGCATAACACACAAGCCTACTACCCATTCAGCTCATGGGATTCACATCCGTTTCCATGTTTCATTCCCTTTTTTTCCCATGGAAAGAGTAAATCTCACTGTGATCCCTCTGTTGAGTAGACATTTTTAGTCTGGTAGCTTTAGGCAAACACCCATCCATTCTGATGATGTTATGGTGGCTTGTTTCATTTCAATTTACTAATACATCAAAAGAGTCTTTAAATAGTTAAAATGTATTGAACCGTCACTATGTTATTACTGTTACTAGATACTTCTATCTGTAGTCATGTAGAGTTTGCACAAAAACTCCAAAAAATTGGCCAGGCACGGTGGCTCATGCCTGTAATCCCAGCACTTTGGGAGGCCAATGTGGGTGGATCATGAGGTCAGGAGTTTGAGACCAGCCTGGCCAACATGGTGAAACCCCATCTCTACTAAAAATACAAAAATTAGCAGGGTGCAGTGGTGGGCACCTGTAATCCCAGGTATTTGGGAGGCTGAGGCAGGAGAATTGTTTGAACCTGGGAGGCAGAGGTTGCAGTGAGCCGAGATTGCACCACTGCACTCCAGCCTGGGTGACAGAGTGAGACTCTGTCAAAAAAAAAAAAAAAACTCCAAAAGATTGATGTTATAATCTCTATTATCTCCTAAAGGAAAATAAGTGAAAAATTTATGAAAATTACAGTTTGTTTGTGGTCAGTGAGTGGTTGAGTCATGACTTGAACTCAGGCTTTCCTGACACCAAAATATGGGTTGTTTCCCAGATAGTTTTCATTCATGTCCTTTCATACAACATTGTTTTTCCACTTACTCAATGCTTTTACTGAGCTTGGTGGTCTGCGCAGTTTGCAATAAGAGATATTCAATCACAATCTACTTCTTTTGTTTGTTTTAAAACTTGTTAATCTCACAGAACACTAACTTCTTCTTTTCTTTTTTTACTTAGAATCTGAGGCCCAATAAAATTATGCCAATGGATCAACATCATTAGAAAAATGTATATATCATGAAGCTTCCCCAGGAGAGTCAGCACCCTGAAGGAAATCCCATTCATTCATTTAGATGCATGAATTCCAGGAAAGTCCCTTGGCTTTAACTACCATCTTCATGCCAATTGCATATGATTTTATCTCCAGCTCTTGATATCTCCATTGAGCTATAGATTCATAGAGCCAATTGCTTATTTCACATATTCACTTGGATGCCTAATTATGACATTTCAAAAGTTACAAGTCCAAAGCAGATCTTTCCTTTCCAAAGTTGTTCCTTAATTACTCTTCCTTATCCTAGAAAATGACACAACCACCTACCAAACATCAAGACATTGTCCTTGAGTCTCCTCCCCTCCTCTCTCAGCTCTAATATCTTAGAAGTCCTAAAACTCTACCTCCAAAATATATCCCAACTTTGTCTGCTTCTCCATCTCTGCCATAATACCATAGTCCTAGCCATTCTTAGCTCTTGCCTGGATGTTCACCTTAGCTTGCTAACTGGTCTGGTCTCCCTACTTTTGCTCTTGTCCGTCTATTACCTATTCTCCATAAAGCAGTCCAAGTGATTTTCTTAAAATGTGAATCAGATTATGTAATATCCTTATTTAAAATCTCACAGTGTCTACTTCTCTGACATCTCTTTCTATTCTCCCCTTAGTTTCTTATTCTCCAGCCCCACTGGCTATATTTTAGTATTTCAAAAGTGCCAAGTATGTTCTTTCCTTGTGGTATGTGTATTAACTTAGCTGTTATCTAGCTGAACAGTTAGATTAGAGGCTTGCACATCCTTCTGTTCTTGATTTGATTCATTTAGGTATGATGATAAAGTTAAGACAAAAAATTTTAAAACAAACATATTGAGCGTTCCATTCCACAAAAAATATTTATTGGCAGACACAGAGATGTGTTATTTAGGCCTCCCCATTGAGAAAGAACTCAGAACCCAGCTGCAAAGAGCCTGTTTAGCTCGCTGTCTTTAGATGTCAACTTTATCAGGGTCTTCCTCAGCTTTGTAGCTAAAGTCATGCTATTTTTGGAGTGCCCCAGACAATGAGTGAGCAAGGTGATGACAGCTGAGGTCATGCTTTTCTGGGGACGACCTTCAGCCTATGACTGAATAAAGTAGCGAGACAATGTATTGGCAATGTGGGACTCCTCTAATGAGAAACCTTCGAACAAGAGTTCCTTGCTAGGCTGCTAAAATCTTATGATGTCAGAAAAGGGTCTGATGGCCCTCCCTATCCATAATGCTTCCTCCCTTCTTTCACAAATTTAGGTGTTACTTCCCAATAAGGCTTTTGCACTCATTCTACCTCAGAATATATGCTCCCAGGTAACTTGTCCTGCAACCCTACTACATGCTAGCTACATTCTGGACACAGGATTCATCAGGGGCAAAGGAACAAAAAAGCAATGTATCACACTTAAATTCTATTCAAGAGAGCTAGGGTATAAGCAAATATGTAACCAAGAAATATCATGAAGAAAAAATGTCTATTAAGGAAATGAGAGGCAATGAGATAGGGGATGCCTGGGGAATTAATTTAGATTAACAGATAAGGTGGATAGGATAGTGTCCTCTGAGTAATGACATGTGAGCTGAAATCTAAATGACAAGAAAGCACCGGCCCTACGAAGACCTGAGACAAGAATATTGAAGGAGCGAACAGCTAGTACAACTGCCCAAAGAGAGGAGTGAGTTTAACGTGTTTGAAAAACAGAAAACCTGATTATCTAGAGTGCTTCCCCCATGCTGCATACTAAGCTAAGTTCCTTGCATTCATTACTTCATTTAATATTCACAGCAATCATGTGAAGTTGGTGCTTGTATCAGTCAAGCTTCCAGCAAGAAACAAAACTTAATGAAAACCTAGTTACAAAGTTATGGGGAAAGTTAACCTCACCAAGAAGAGATGGTGAAGCATCCAGGAATCAGCAACACGGGAAGCCGATCCACTGCCCACCTCTTCCCCAACCCTAGGTCTGAAGGGGCAGACCTGAATGATGAATGAAATGAAACCTGAAGCAAACCCAAGCCATAGGAGAGAAGCCACCAAGTTGAAGTGTGGCCTTGTGGAGAGGATCACAGCTACTATCTCACTCATCCCCACAGCAATGAAGGGAAATACAAACCCTCAAACTCTTTCACCTCATATCCATTAATTTATGGTCACAGCCCCATCAACTAAGCCCAACCAGGAATCCAGCGGAAATACTGCATTAGAGGTCAGCATCCAAGGGCACAGAACCAGGTGGAGAGGTTGGAAATTGATCTGGGGGCGGGGGCAAAGAATTTTATGCAGTACTATTGTCATCTCTATTTTACAGAAAAGGAAACTGAGGCTTTTACTAATTTTAAGATTCATATTTTTTCTACATTTTGACATCTCTGATATAGAGATGTACTTTACCATCAATACAGTGTCATAGTTTAATTGGCAGCATTTTTTTGTTGTTCTTTCATAGTGTCACATAAAATAACAGTGTGTTTTTCAGTTGACAGAGTCTTCTACTTTATAAACTGTGATGACCAGCCCAAGGTCAGGCTACTATGCAATGGAACTATGCAAACTTGAAGAAGTACTGGAAACAAGGTTGGAAATAATTTTAAACTGTAATTGCTAGGTTGACTTCACTCTGGTTTACTAATTTTCCTTCCTTCTTTCCTTTTCCTTCCTCCCTTCCTCTCCCCTCCTCAATCTTCTCCTCTTCTTTTACAAAAGAAGACCTTGTCTTTGCTTATCCACCCTGATGGGTAACCCTGGCATCTTAAAGCAATTGTCCAGCTCTCCGTCTTCATTATGGCCATGGTCTACATACATTGGTGCTGCAAGATGCAAAGGCCAAGTTGGCTTTTTTTTTTTTTTTAACAGAACAGGGACTTTTTCTCACCTGCTTTTCACCTGATCTGTAATTCAGGTAGACTAGATACTATTTTCTGTGACTGGCCACTTGGGATTGTACTGTGTTTAAAATCAGAAAACCCCCTTTGAGAAACATGTGACTCTATTTCCAACTTTCTTTTATCAAAGGAAAAGCTCTGACCCCCTCTGGGCTAGATATATAAATCTTAGCTTATCTACAAAACAAAATTTGAAGAGTGAGCCTAAGGGAACTGGTAGGTTCAACCCTCAGTACAGTCTCTATTTTAACACTTTAGCAAACAGATGTTATCTGTGTCAATTGAAGTCAGTTTAGCAATTACAGTTTAAAAATTGCTTTGAAATTTCTAATGACTCAATTGCACATAGAAAGAAAAGGCAACTCCTTGGCCACTCATCCAGAATCAGCCTCAACTGGCCCTTCTTCCCCTCTCTAGCTTTCTTGCACTGCCCTGTGCCTGCTGTGTCATCTGCCTCTCCCAGGCACACAGCAGCTGAAATGCAGTCACATTGCTGTACTTCCTCTCCTCATCTTTGCATCACTTCACACTGTCTCATCTCTGCCTTTGCTCAAATCAGTGTAAAACAGTATAGTATTTTTCTTTTTTTTACTTGTTTTCAGTTTCTTGTGACTAGGAAGTAGGTGGCCCTAGAAAGGAAAGGCAGGATATTCCTTTTCTAATTGCTCAAAACAGTCGATCATCATGTGACTCTTTCCTCTGAAGAAACAGAAAATTGAGTTATAATCCAAGAAGTTCCCTTTAATCTCATTATTTATAAATTTGTGATTCTATAATTTTCAGCTCCCTTGTGGTTCTTTCAGACATAATAATATTATTCACAAGTGCCCTTAAGAATTCATGCCTCCTGCTTATCCCTTCCACGTGTCACTCACCCAGTAATTCCTCCCACCTCATGACAAAAACATATGACTCTCAGATGAGGTTCCAAGTGTCAGAATTTTAACTATATTCTCCATTTCCTTAGCTTTCCAGAGTCACACTTGCCAGGACTTCACTTAGAGGTCTGCCCACATTGCCTAACAGTAACTAATCACTGAGTCAAATTTTAAATAGATCCTTCAAGGCGGCTTCTTTTCACACACAAAGAAACACACATATTCTTATCTGTGGAGAAAATGAGCATAGTCATCCATAAAAGGAAGAGTAAATTGTAAAACAAGGTGTTTGTTTGTTATTGTTTTTCTCTTTCCCTTTGGCAAAGAAAATGATCAAATAAATAAATAAGTAAGCTAAATGCAGGAAGTAATGGAACTTTGGTAATCCTTTGATTAAGACTCCTAGGATTGTGGGTTGGATTATTAATAGAATCTGGATATTAAGGATCTTTAAATGATCACTGTGTGAAGAATTCATGTTATAAATGCATGCTAGGTTTTCATGTGGCCAGCAATCTTGTCAGTGATAAGGCATAGAAAACACTTCAAGATCTATTGAAATCGTTGTTCCCAAAATCAGCCTGCTGGTTTTATTTGGTTTTAGGGAAAACTATACATTTCATAAACGATAGATCTGTCCCTGACATCAAACAGAAGGGACAAAATTTTGAAAACTGGCTCTAAGCTACTGTTATTAATTGTCCATTGCTATATAGCAAACTATCCCAAAACTTACTGGCTTAAGCAATGATAAATGTTATCTCATACAGTTATGTGGCTTAGAACTTTGGGAACTGCATAGCTAGTTATTCCGTCTCAGGGAATAACTAGATCTTGCAGTCAAGATGTTGGCCAGGGCTGTGGTTATCTAGGGGTTTGACTAGAGCTCGATAATCCACTTCTAAATTGGTTCACTCACAGGGCTGGCATGCTGGTGCTGGCTGTTGACAGATTTATGGTCCTCACTCTACAGACCTTTCCCTAAGACTGAGAATCTTCAATATACGGCAACTCACTTCTCCCAGAGGTTAGATCAAATGATGAAGAAACTGAGGTGGAAGCCCCAGTGTCTTTTATGTCCTTGTCTCAAAAGTCACATGTCATCATTTCCACAATATTCTATTGGTTGCTCAAATCAGCCCTATTTATTGTTGGAGGGGGCTACACAAGGGTTTACACTGGAGGTCATCTTGACAGCTGGCTGCCACAATCATTCATTTAATTCATCAAAACATTGATCAACTTTTGCTGAGGGCTAATTACGCAGAAGTGTCTGGGCTAGGCTCTGGCAGTAGTAGCAACTATTTTTAAATTTATCTAACAAATATACTTTGAGCATCTACTA
Source organism: Homo sapiens (assembly GCF_000001405.40). Lineage (NCBI taxonomy): Eukaryota > Metazoa > Chordata > Mammalia > Primates > Hominidae > Homo > Homo sapiens. Next base: position 71,029,077 of record NC_000012.12, on the reverse strand, counting down.
TGTGCTGGGTGCTCCTACATGCATTGAGGTTTTTGCAAAGAACAAAACAAATCAGCTTTGGCTTCCTTGCAGCTTACATTTTAGTTAGGATGGGGAAACGCAATAAAAAATAAATGTATAATATATCGGGTATAAGCCTGTATACAAAAAGCAGACTAAGAAAGATAGAAGAGTTAGTCCTATTTAATATAGGTGGTCAAGGAAGATTTCTGTGACAAGGTGATTTGGCAAGAACCTAACTAAAGTCGGGGGTGGGAGCAGAATGCTTCAGGCAGAGGAAACCTTCAGTGCAAATGTTGGTGGAAGGATACATAGAAGAGCAAAACAAGAAGAGCCTACAAGAAGTCGTTTATAAAGATGTGTTAAACTATAAGTTAGGGCTATTATTAGACTTTGAGTCACCTGTGAATCTTTTCTGTTTTACTCTTTTAAAATCTACATTCAACATTTAAAGCCCATCTAATGCACAATCATTCATCTCATACTGGCTGGAGTGGCTCCAGTGGGGCATTCTGAGGAACCACGCCACATTCCTCCAGACTCCAGCTGAACCACTATTTTCCTTGGTAGATCATCACTTAATCTGCTTATGAGATCCAAGCCATCTACCAGATTTTTGCCTCAAAACATGGTGGAACCTTTATCCTCAAGGTCCTTATTACATGTTTTCAAAGGAAGACATCTCCACTATCCTTTCCAAATGCTATTTCTTCCACCTATACTTTAGATAGCACGCTTTCATGTCTTCTAAAATAGCAGTCCCCAACCCTTTTGGCACCACGGGCTGGTTTCGTGGAAGACAGTTTTTCAACAGACAGGGGAGGGAGGATGATCTCAGGATGAAACTGTTCCACCTCAGATCATCAGGCATTAGTTAGATTCTCATAAGGACCACGGAATTCTCATAAGGAACTGCATGCACAGTTCACAATAGGGTTCATGCTCCTGTGAGAATCTGATGCCGCTGCTGATCTGACAGGAGGCAGAGCTCAGGCAGTAATGCTCACTAGCCCGCAGCTCACTTCCTGCTGTGCGGCTTGGTTCCTAACAGACCAGGGACTGGTACCAGACAACACAGGACAGCAGGGGTTGGGGACCCCTGCCTGAGAACTTCGGCTCTCGACCACCACTTCCCACCTATTTCTTTCTTATTTTCTTCCTCATTACTCACTGCTCCTTTCCCTCTGTTGAAAACATTCTATACTGTCTATACCGTAGTTGGCAAATAATTATTTCTTCATCCTGTTACCCGTAGGCCATAATTTTTAAAGAGCCAACAGAACCATCTGAAATGTTGAAGAAAAACGTAAATTTCCCATTTCTGCCCCAGATATACTTAAGCAGATTTTCCAGGGGGTGGGTCCAGGGGTTTATTATTGAAAAAGTTACCCACATTTTTCTGATGAGCACCTGTGTTGCAGAACTACAGGTCTTTACTCTTTGGTTTCTTTTCTTATCAGATGTTAATTCATTTTCCTACTGCATTCTAATTCTTAATCTCTTCGCAATCAAAGTTAATTTCTCAAAACATTCCAGTGATGTCTCGATATTCAGAGCCAATGGCCTCAGTCTGTATCATGTTTACATTTACTTCATCATTTCATCTTATTGACTGTCATCGTCTTCCTGAAACTTTTCTTCTCTCTCAGGTTCTGTAACACTGAAATCACATGGTTAAGACATTAGAAATATTTGCTATAAGTAGTGAATTTTGATTATTTATGCAACAAGCAGTTTCATTTAGTTATAAATTATTACCTGCACTCGTTTCTCAGTCATTGGCTGGTGATTTTTTTTTTTTTTTTAGTTTTTTAAAGTGTCTAAACAGAATCAATGATATCCCTTCCCCTCCATCCTCAGCAAGCTCCATCTTAGGAGGCTCAGATGAAAAGAAAAAATAGTAAGATGGCAAAACACAAGACCCATGACCTTTGCACCCAGGTTATCCAGGGCTCCCCAAATCCCTAATTTTCCTAGTCCCTCTCTTTTCTCCCCTCGAAAGTAGAGTTGTGTGATGTAATGAAAGCTGTGATTGATTGGGGCTAGCAAAGCACACAGGACTCTGGAATGGAATCAGTTCTACCATGAATTATGCTGTGTGATATTGTATAGGTTTCCTGATCTCTCTGGGCTTCAGTTTCCACCATTTGAAATGAGAAGATTAAATTGAAAACCTCCAACTTCTGTTACAAATAAAAATTAAAATGAAGATAATTGCAATGCTTTTAAAACAAGACTAGGTAAATGTAATATATTTTCTTTCATCCTTTAAGAGAAACTCAGCTAATCCTTTATAATAGCATATTTTATGAAAGGCACTGCATTTCAGACTCTGAGGAAGAAAATGATAAACATTGCTTGGCTCTGGAAAAATGTATGTGAAAAAATGGAAAACTGAAACAATGCATACAAATTATGTAATTAGTTAACCTCTTGGTTGGTTAATAAGAGGGAAAAAAAATCCTTACAAGAAGTGTAGCTTACACTCTGAGAAGTCAGGTTGGTTCTGACCCCGAACTTGAAACATCCAAGTCAAGTGTTTACTCCAAATGGAATAAGGGTTGAAGTGCTGGGTTGAGACAACCAGCTGTTGGGACATTACTTGCTTGGCACACCCCTTGGAGTGCCATTTAGCCTAGCATCATCCATGGGAGTTAGACGCCTTGAAAAATAGCTCAGGTGCCGACCAAATCAAATTTTTAGAATAGCTTAAAACCACCCAGGCTTCTGTGAATTCTCTGGACTGACCAGAATTATGACATTATCCAGTGCGTATTTCCAATACTGAGTGCTAAAGATAAAAGTATGGATAAAGTACTGTGATTTCATTCTAGATAGAACCAGTTTTGCTCTTAGACCTAGGCAGAAGAGGCAAAAGAGACTCCTACCTTGAGTTACCTTGAGTCCTCAATTTTAGAGGGTCCCTCACATTAGAGGATCCCTCACATTAGAGGGTCCTGCTCTTGCCCTCCTTGGGCTGTGCCCTTACCTTCAAATTAGTCAAGGGAATGTGTCACCCAGAGTTAGTGGTCCCCAGCCTTTCTAGGTTGTACTCCAGATAGGACAACCCCAGAATTCCTTAGCCAAATTGTCCCAAGCCAGTGTTCAGACTTGTATCGACCTCTTGTCTGGTCTGTCCCTCTGAGGATGGTCTATGCTGCCATGCTGCCAGTGTGTGCTCCCCTGGGCTAAGATTTGGCCAAAAGGTGGCTGTTTTCAGGGCTGTGGATAAAGCTTGAACATGCTTATTGGGGTGTCCACATGCATGCTGGGGTGTGGTCCCTCACAGTGTAAGAGAGATGCAAGGTCATGCACCCCAGAAAGGAGGCCAGGTTCTAACATAGAGCTTGGAACTTGGAGAGATCTGAGAATTCTAAATGCAAACCCTATCTTCCAGATCATTTTGAAGGTTTTTATGTCAAGGTAGCAAAAGTGTAAATTTTATATATTGAAAGTACATGTTAAATATTTGGCATATGATGTCAAAACCTCCATCTGTATTTTTGCTCTGTGCTCTACAAGTGTTGTGGGTGGGCCTGAGTGACTAACTTTCCATATAAGCACCAGAAAAAGTTAGATGGTACATTTGCTCCAGAACACTTACCTTAGTCTCTTCACCTGGACTAAGGACCTTTAACTTCCCTTGGAAAAACTCAGATTAACACAAAATATGAAGTATGTGTCACCCTGAAGTACAGACTTTATTGGTGTTTTATGCTTTGTAGAGTCAACTGTTTTGCTAATGATGCTAAATAAATAACAGTGGTCACAGGTATGACAGTTGATGCCTGCGAGGTCAAATTCCCTATAGTAACTTACACACATTGTCTCTTAAAATAGTCCTGTCTAGCATTCCAGAGGTTCACTTGGTTTGGGAAATGTTCATATCCTAGTCTTAATCCTCAAATGCCTTCCTATCAATTCATTCTTACACTCATCAATTCTGCGGGCAGCTGTTTAAGCAAATACTACTGTGGAAATCCGTTCAAGGGATTATTTTTACACAGCTGTTTGCAAGCCAAGGTAGGTTTTAATAGAGAGGAAAGTCATCTGGATTATCTCATGAGTATAAACCTGTTACTATTGTTTTCATTGACTGTGGATCTCTGGTGTAGGTTCTTTAGTTATAGCCTAATTAAATATTGTTGCCCTATAAATCAGTGCTATGCAACATATCTAAGTACTTTAGGGAGTTTTTGGGTGGGTTAAAACTGACTAGAGGTTAAGATCCAAAAGGGTTTGTTATTTTTCCCTTTGACAGTAAATTCTAAGGTCTTTTCCCTTAAAGTACAGAACTAAATGAATAAAAACAGCACATGGTGTTCAATCCTTTGTGGCTCATTTAAGCAACTGAAACTTTCCCCAAAGTTCTAGAAAAGTGCTAATCTACAAAAATGGCAAATTCACCTGTCTCTGATGGTGGCCAAGTTGAAGGGATATAAGTTACTGAGACATTTGAGCCTCTAACCTCTAGTGATTTATATCCATTGTTTTTTTTGAAGCACTGTGTTGCAAACAGTACTGTTTAGGCCAGTTTGCAACGCCTGCCTTAGGGGTGACCTACATGGTATGATTTGTGATTTCAAGCACATTGAGAAAATTCCTTTGGCCTTAAATAGCTCACCTATGTGACCAAAACAGTTACTTGAAATTCCACTATTACAAAGCCATTCTTTTAGATTAACCAATCTCTCTCTCATAAACTGTAGAAAGGAATAAAAGAATATGTAGTCCAGGCACGGTGGCTCGCGCCTGTAATTCCAACACTTTGGGAGGCCGCAGCAGGTGGATCATTTGAGCTCAGGAGTTCAAGACCAGCCTGGGCAACAAGGCAAAACCCTGTCTCTACCAAAAATATAAACAATTATCTGGGGATGGTGGTACACACCTGTGATCCTAGCTACTTGGGGCTGAGGTGGGAGGATTGCTTGAGCCCGAGAAGCAGAGGTTGCAGTGAGCCAAGATCACACCACTGCACTCCAGCCTGGGTGACAAAATGAGACCCCATCTCAAAAAAAAAAAAAAAAGTCAGTACAAGCATACCATATTTTTGGTCAAGAATTTCCTCCTCCATGAGTGTCTGGGGTCCCAGTGTGGAAGACGATAGAGTACATTTGCTACAAAGAAGCACAAAAAGAGATTAGGAAACAGAAATAATGTTCTCTTAAAAAAAACCTCCCATATTTATCCAGCTTTGATGGGTCAGGCGTTCTTAAGAAAGTATGGCATTCGTTTTTCAAACAACATTGCAATTTAGTAATCAGTATTCTTGTTGTCCATAGGAGGAAACAACCTAGAAGCAATTAAGTTAGTGGCTTGTCAAAGATCACACAGTTAGCAACAAACGCAAAAAGAAACGAAATCTCAGTTATAATTTTTTGCAAAGGCTGTTTCACTGGCCTAAGTGTGAAAGGAAAATAAATCTCGGGGACCTCAAAATCACTAAGCCAAGGGAAAAGTCAAGCTGGAAACTATGTCAGGCAAACCTGCCTCCCATTTTACTCCTAAATAAGGTAGCTATAAAGATAAAGCTACAGACCGCCCTCACAGTTTGGCCACAAGACAATTCCTTGTAGGCCTCAAGATCTTTACTCTAAAACAGTTCTCCTGAATTTCACCCTGGCAATGTTAACCGATAGCTGATCTTCACAGGTGCAGGACAGAAAGTCATCCATCTGCTCACCTGAGATAAATGCATATTTGATTGCTTCCTCTGCCCTATTGTTTATGTAAAAATGCAGATTCACTGAGCCAGACTAAATTGTGTATTCAGTGAAAGGCTGCTCAATGACTCAAAAGAGTGCAACCTTCTGTCTCTTATCTACATATGACCTGGAACTCCACCTTCCACCCTTTGAATTGTCCTGCCTTTCCAGACTGAATCAATTGTACATCTTACATATATTGATTACTGTCTCATGTCTTTCTAAAATATATAAAAGAAAACTACCCCGACCACCCTGGGCACATGTTGTCAAGACCTTCTGAGGCTGTGTCGTGGATGCATCCTTATCCTTGGCAAAATAAACTTTCTAAGTTGGTTGAGACCTGTCTCAGATATTTTGGGTTCACATATACAAACTAACACTCAAATCTAACTTATTTTGTTCTATGTTCCTTTTACTACACTAGCATTTCCTTGTCTAAGTCATGTTGTGTGAGTAAATTTGTGATTTTTTCTGCTGTGGATAATTACAGCTTCAATTAACTGAGTACCTGATGTGTATGATAAACATGTGGGCTCTGGAGCCAGGTGGTCTGGATTCAAGTCTCAGTTCCAGCAATTACTGGTTGTATGATTTGGGACAAATTGCTTACTCCCCTTGGACTTTGTCTATAAATGGGGATAATAATCTGACCTCATAGGGTTATTGTGAGGATGAACTGAGTCATTACATAAAAAGTACATAGAAAAATTCCTAGTATGTAATAACTGCTCAATAATTCTTAGCTTACTGTAGTTATTGCCTTATTAAATCCTTCCAAAAACAGTCTTAAGGAAATATTTTCCTTATTTATAGATACATAAACTGGATTCAGGAAAGTTAGGTGACTTGCTCATGATCATCTAGACAGAAAATTCAAAACAAGAACACTACTCTATATCAAAGTTTGGGATACACTTGGCTGCAAGGTTGAAATGGCACCTTCAAAACTGATAGAGAAGATATGTAATATTCAGGACTGGCCAGCATCTAGGTGAAGAGCTGAAAAAAGTCTTATCCATGCAAAATGATTTCAAAGTTTTGAAAGCCACTGCCAGTTCAAATGGTCATGGCTGTGAGCATCCACCTTGTACATCTGTTTCCAAAAGACAGCATAGTTGAGACAAAGCCTTCAAGTAGAGCATCGACTGAGTGAAGTACAGAAGCAGCACAAACGGGTGAGGCTGGGCAAACAAGGCATTAGGGGATGGTTGGCCCAGGAAGCAGGACTCAGGCAAGGAGACTAATATGGTTAGGCTTTGTGTCCCCATCCAAATCTCATCTTGAATTGTAATCCCCGTAATCCCCAAGGATTGAGGGAGGAACCAGGTGGAGGTAGTTGAATCATGGGGGCAGTTTCCCCCAAGCTGTTCTCATGATAGTGATTTCTCATGAGATCTGATGATTTTATAAGGGGCTTTTCCCCCTTCACTCAGCACTCCTCCTTCCTGCTGCCTCGTGACGAAGGTCTCTGCTTCTGCTTTGCCTCCACCGTGATTGTAAGTTTGCTGAGGACACCCCCAGCCATGCAGAACTGTGAGTCAATTAAACCTTTTTTCTTCATAAATTACCCAGTCTTGGGCATTTCTTTATAGCAGTGTGAGAATGGACTAATACAGGGACCATAAAGCACATACTTTGTAATGTTTGTCTTAGGCTCAGCACTGGGTCAGTGAAACAGCAACCCAGATTTACAGCTGTAAGAGATACTTGCACAACATGCTTCCACACAGATCTTCACAAGCCATCTTCACAGCCTTATGCAGTGAAGATTATTGCCTTTCTCACGGCCTTATTCCCATTTTCCAGATAATGAAGCAGAAATTTAGAAGAATTAAATTAACAATGCAAGGCCACAACTAGAAAGCTGCCGAGAGAGTGCTTGGATCTGGAGTCTTTTGATAGCAAAGCCTCTCTTTTCATGACACCAGTCTGCCTATCACATGCCAGTTGCCGAGTACTTTATATTAGGAAACAGACACGTAGGGCTAGATATTTGCAAGAGTAGTGGATTCCACATTATCCATTGATTTTTCTAGTTTATAATCTCATTATGGAAGTGGCTTCTGTTAAACCCCTGTATTAGCTTTACTGAGGTTTAGTCTTTCTTCACTCTTGTATTAGGGGAGTAAAGATTAATCTCAAAAAAAATGCTCCTAATAATAAGTTTCTACTAATTTAATATAACGTTAAATTGCTTGTAGAAGCTGAATATATCTTGAGAGCCTGAAATTTGATCAAAGTTTTCCAGGGTTTTTTATTGCATGTTCATAAAATTTAACAAGCCCCACAATTTGTAGCTTCTGACAAAGTCTCTCTGCAAGGAATAATGAATTAGAGATGTCAAAAAGTCTGTTGCTTAAAAATCTTTGTAATTCTACATTGTCATTCAAAGGAATTGCAATCTCAGAAGAGTCGAAAATTCAAATAAGCCAAGTACAAACCATTTATTCAACTGCAGTGCAATGGCAAGTCAAAGCAATGGCAAGTCCAGAGTGAGGATAAGATATTTCAGTGTGTATGGAAACAATCAGATTCCTTTCTTCCCTTGAGATTGGATGCATAATTAAAAATAGGACATAATTACTGTTCTTTTGTATTTGAAAGAAAATTCAGCAAGCAAATGGCAGCTGGAAGAATTAATCTGCAGGTGAAGACAACTTACAACTTGGGAGGTAACTGCCACATTATTTATTCTGCATTATGAATTAGGCACCAGATGAGTACCATATTCATGCATATACTCCATAACAGCTCATTTGTATAATAAGCAAAGGGAAGCTATTTTAACCTCTCAAATTATCATTAAGTTAGCAAAAGGCAAGGATGATTTTGGCAAAAACATTACCTGGATTGTGAGCCCCAAACTGAAATGAAGCTTACTAACTCACCCTCCCAGTGGGAAACAATTTTTATTTAAATATAAGCATGGTTTTGTTTTTTTTATAACTTACAATCTATCTACTTTCACAAAGGATTTGACACAGTCTAACTCCACTCCAAAAAGAAAAGTAGGATACGAGGCAAACTAAAGTTTGAAGGTATGCTTGTGAGCAAACTATCTAATAAACCCATCCAGAATAATTCTAAATCTTTGTATTTTCTTAAATGAAAGAACAAAATAGCTGAATGGCAACATCAAAATATTATCTGAATCTAACTCTAAAAAATGAGTGTATTCTTCGATCTCATAGTTCAGTGACCAAATCGTCACTTTTGTCCACAGGAGGGAATTTCATATTTTCTTTTAAGCTTTTAGTTCTGTTATACTCTGTAATATTAACTGTCAATGTCCAAAAAAAAAAAAGAAAGAAATCATGTCTTCTCCCTTTCTCTGCCATATTGCTAGAACACGTTTCCAGAGTTTCTGTGTCTAGGTAGGGCTGGCTAACTAGTTCCATTATGAATGTGAGGAATAGAAGTGATATTTGTCACCTCTGAGCTAAGGCAAGAGCAAGTGTGCTTTTTCTAAATACTGTCTTCTCCCTCATTCACCAGCTGAGTGCTGAAAAGGCAGACCCTAAGGGCTTTAGCGTAGTGGTTCCCAAAATGTTGTCTCTAGATCAGTAGCATCAGCATCACTTGGGAACTTGTTCAAAATGCAGGTCTTGGGTCCCACCCCAGACCTACCAAATCAGAAACTCTGGAGGTGAGGCCCAGTGAGGCGAGTGCACGGCAACATGTTCAAGCTTATGTACATGGCATTTGAGGTCGGAGCATGGAAAAATACTGAGGCACTGTGTGTATGTTATTTGTGCATGAGAATGTAACTCCTTGACCCTGAAAACAGGACAAGGAGTGAAGTGTGTGATAAGGAACGCTGAAAACAGCCTCTTGAGAATGAGGTTTGAGTGCTTTTACAAGGCCATAGGTGTCTCACGACCTGACCTCAAAAAACCATCTAGTGGATGTTTGTAGTTTAACAAGCCCTTTCAATAAATACTTGACAGAGGGATTCTGGGGTGGCAAGAGCTGTCCCCCTCCTCGCTCAGCTGGAATTGTCTGAGAACTAATTCTTGGTGTTCACTGCAAGCTATAAGCTTTGCAGCCCAGCAATATGTGTATTAACATGCCCTCTAGGTGGTTCTGATACACACTAATATTTAAGAGCCACTGTTCTATTAATAGATAATGTCAAGGCCATGGGTTAGTAGGATCCTGGGTCCCTGTATGACTACATGGAGCAGAGACTTCGTCACCCTTCCTACTCATTGGACAGTGACGTAAGGCAAATTTTGTATTGCATTAAGCTTCAGAGATCTTCAGGTTACTTCCTATAGCAGCTGGTCTATCCTGATTAATACAGCTCCCTGGTCATTTTTCTATTGCTTTTGGTCGGTGTAACAGCACTCTGTTTTTGTGCTAGTCAGTACAACTCTGTTGGGAATGACAGGGAGGAAATAAGTCAGCACACTGCTAAGTATTATTTTCTCTCGGGCTTTGCTCTTTTATCTCTTCTTGACTTTCATGTATTGTTTCCTTTGTCTAAATTGTTACCTACTGCTCAGGTAGCAAAATATTACTCATCCTTCAAGCATCTCCACATCTGTAAAATCTTAAGATCCCTTTATAAGATAAGAGAAGCACCTCTGTACATGCTCTTACAGAATTTTTTGCCCTTCAGAAACCTGAGGTTCTCTAATATGAGACAAGCATTTAAAACATCAAAAATTTGACAAAAAATTACATGACACTCTTTATTCTTTATAGTTGATATTTTTACATTTTATCCCACCATTCTTGTAAGTTTTCTTTTGAAGAAATGCTTTCCTTCCACTCCAAATATGTATTTCCATCAAATATGTGACTTAGTTCTGTTCAGATTCCTTCCCTAGAATTTTTCTAAGTGAGTTTATTGGAAAATGTTTAATTGATAATACATTACAAAGTTGTGACCCTGGACTGTGATATGAAAAAAATTGATCTGCTATAAGGAAGAATGAGGCCAGTAATCAGACAACAAAGTGTCAGTTCTGACAATACTTTAGCTCCTGGATCCAGTCATTCCTGAAGTCGGATCCACTCCATATGGTTTAGACATTTAAGTCAATAAATTCTCTTCTTTTTCTTCAGATAGTTCAAGTTGAGTTTCTATCACTGGTTTTCAGAAGCTCCCTAGTGCTATGAATATGGAAATAGTTATTTCTAAAAAGAGGTAGTTCTTGAGCTGAAGAAGGGAAAAGAGAGACCTAGAAGAGTAGAAAGAAGGGGAAAATAGATTCTTTAACCATGGCAAGGAGATACATTATAGAAAAATGTAAGATGAATGAAGAAAATCATCTCAGTTAAGATAGGGCGGTACTCCCCAGATCTTGTCCTCCATTTAATACTTTCCTGATTTTTGCTTTTCTCTAACACATCTATGATATTGGGTTTTAAAATACATGCATTAAAAAATAGTCTTGTTCTAAGAAATAATATCCACAAAATTAGGGGTTGATTTGCTAGTTTCATATACGTAGCTATTAATTTTTTAAAACTCATTTGTGGATCTAACATCATTATGTGTGTTACAAATCATATGAATATCAGACTTTGGGAAATACTAAGAGAATTAAGTCTGCTGAAGGTTAGAAGGGAAGGGTAGAGTAAGTGGCAAAGGGAGAAATCAACTTCCTAGTTGCATATCTTGAATTTAGCCAGCTTGGGAGCAACTTTGTTGCCTTCAGTTGATAAACTAAATGGGGGTTATGATGAATGCAACAGACAGGAGCCCACATGATATATGCAGATTTCACAAGACTGCTGAAGGGCCATGTCAGTGGTTAAAACATTAAAATTCTTCCGTGCAGGCTGGATAGCAGCCATTACTCCGAGCCTCCAAAGTGTCCCAATACCCTGGTTACCTTGGCCCCACCTCATTACTCTCTGGACTGCCCCGTGATCTAGCAATGAAAGGGGCAGTGCCAGTACAGTTGGAAGCCTCCAGGACCCAAGGCCAGCCCTTTGGCCAGCTTCCGTCCTGATTAGTTGGTGTTCTTGCTGACTGTAAAAATAATTTAAAACTCCTAGAATTATGTGTCTATTACTGTATGGATCACAATGGATTGTACTTATTGGTTTGTCTGTTTTCTGATTGTCACTAGTCTAAGGACAAGAACTATATTTGTCATTTTCTCCAGTGTCTAATATGAGTAGTGTTTTGCAGTTGAAAAGATGATAGAAGATAGCCAGAATGGAGGACCTACATTTCCTGTTGTTTGACCACCTGTTTCCTGTGCTATAGGAAGCCATTCATAACTAGGAAGGAGGCAGTTTATGGTTTTGTTTTAAATCTGTAAAATTTTTTAAAATTATACTCTTGGCTATCTGTCCTAATATGTTTGTCTTATATTTTCCTTCAGAAATGGATATTAATTTCTAGTTTATGTTCTACTTTCAACATTTGTCATCTTCTCTTACATTAATGTCTCTTATCATGCCTCCTCCATTATGTTCCTGGAATCTACCTGTGGTTTCACTAATATGATTCCTCACAGGACTTCCTAGGCTTTTTAGTGCCACTACTTTCAACCTGTGTAGTCCTCAAATTCAACCTGGTCTATACTTGCCGTTTCTTTTCTTTTTTTCCCATCTTGTTAAGGATAGTTAATAGTTCTTACTTGAGCATTTCCTTTCAGGGTTTATTTTCTGCACTTTTCTTTTTCTTTTGTTTTGGGCTATTTTCTCAATGTGGTTGCATTACTCATAATTTCATGTGTCTGGGATACTAGGGGCTGAGGTTCCAGGAACAGCATACAGGTGAGTCTAGATTGACTTGATTGACCTGTGGGTTTAAAAGTGGGATAAAAAGTAAGATAGGAAGTTAGCATTGAGTGATGAAAACTGAGTCAAGATCCAAGGACAAAATGCAAACGAAATAGCAGTGTAAAGACAGGGAGGCAGAGACCTGGTATAAAACACTGAGACAGAAAACAAAATAAGTGGCTTTGGAATGGAAAAAACGGGGTTGAGTCTTGAATCTGAGACACTATAGGAAATTACTAAATGTACTGGGCAATTTAGACAAGAGGAGAAACTGGGTTAAACAAGAAATCCTGCCTGTTGCTGAAGTTTATGCTGGAGGGCCTGGGACAGGGCCGTGTGGTTTCTGTCAGAAGTCCTTCTTGAGACAATGTCTATAGCTCAGGTTGGCTATCAGGGTTGCCTCAATACTACTGAACACAGACAGGAATGTGCCTACTTACATTTATTTTGGAAATTGCTAAATTGTTTCCTTCCTTTGGATGATTCTACAGGTGTTTTAATAAAAAGAGGAAAAGAATTCTTAGGAGTTTTGATTCACTCCACCATTTTCTGTCAATTCTCAAATTTTACTCAATGGTGTATTTCTTTGTAAGTCACAGAAGAAATGTGAACAGAAAACATAAATTCCTATTGCTGTGTATAATATGCTACAAATATACTTCCCCTACAACCACTCCTAGAACAGACTAGAATATTAATTTGAGACATCTAGCTTTCACAGATCTAGACTGTTTGCAGAAGATGGCTAACAAAAGTATCAGTTGCCCAAGCAACTTATGGAAGCAGAAGGAAGTAGAATAAAACTATTAGATCACTTTGGACTTTCCAAAGGCATAAAACAATAATCTTTTAAAGATATAACTGGTAAACTTTGATATTAAATTTCTAGCGCTGGTGCCATTTAAAGACTGGACATTTAAATGAAACATATTTTTCAGGGAACTTTAGAAAAGCTAATATGTTAGGGAAGAAGTATTAAGACAAGAGTCAAGAAAGCTTTCAACAGAATATGCTTAACTGGGCCAAAAAAATTGCTGTCTAGCCCCACCCTCAATCAGCACAGGAGACAACCTCAGGGACTTATAAGAAATACAGAACATTAAATCAGCACCTCTTGGACTTCAGAAAAAAGTCTTCCAAAGTCGGAGCCTGATTTTCATTCCACAGTGCCCCATTTAAGTTCTATTTTACACTGAAATTTAAAATTACATCAACAGAGTTGGTACACAATGTATGATAGATAGCCACTGAATACACACAAAAACAAGTCATAGGCCAACGAGAAGTTAGATTAGAAGTTTTGTAGTTAGTATACACCAACTAATCTTTCTAAGAATGGAGGAATACTTCCCTTATTTCATTCACAAATCTTTCTTTCAGAACTTGCTCCCACTTGGGGACCATTTTCCCTAGCACTCATCTATTGATCCAGCCATCTGTCTGTCCATCCATCCAATAGCTTTCAAGAATGTAGTATGTGCCAGTCCTTCTGTGTGTGGCTGGCATACAATGAAGAATAAGAATAAGACAGACTCTCTTCTTAACCGTAACTTCTGAAATGTAGCCTCTTTCACCTCCCCAGATTCTCAGCTCCTTTCCCTCAGCACAGGGAGCTCTCTGAGCTTTCTGTGTTCTCCCTCCTTGTACTGCATGCTGTAAACCCTCTCAAGGCAGTGAGGTGATAATCACCGTTTCCCCTCCCTCAATGATCACTGTCCTTATCATCTAATTCCAGTATCTCAAAAACTATTGTTTCATATATTTCACCTGCATTATTTTGGTTGTTTTCCTCGAGAAGGTAAATTCAGACCCTGTTAATTTATTTGGGTTGAAGCAGATGTCCACTATTGAGTTTTGAGAGTTCTTTATGTATTTTGGAAATGAGTCTTTTGTCATACACATGATTTGCAAATATATTCCCCAACCTACAGTTTATCATTTTATTCTCTTGACTGTGTCTTGGGTAGAGAAAAAGTTTTAATTTTGATGTTCAATTTGATGCTATATCTAAGCATCCCAACCTCAGGTTGATGCTTCCCAACCTCAGGTCAGAAACATTTTCTCCTTTATGTTTGCTACTGTTCAAGTATTGTTTGTTTCATTCTGTTTCAATTGTGTGCATGGGAAAAATTATCTTTGTTACTGAATTGTGATAACTACCTTAAACCAGGCATCCATTCTGAGCTATATTCCTTAGGGATTTTAACACACCTGTAATTATCTGAGTCTCCACTGGATGTCAATACTGCTTAAGGAAAAGCAGTTCAGACGTCATCTTGGGTGTACAAAACAATACATGCTTTTAAGACGCATTAGGGTGGAATAGTTAGAAAGGAGCCTAGAAAAAGTGAAATAGACAAGCAGGAATATCTGTCCTTTGGTCCAGTAATAAATGTCAGACAGAGTGTTGGCTTACAGTTCTGAAATTCATAGCAGTGTTGAACCCCAAAGTTGGAAGCCTGAATTCTGTTTTTCATTCTACTTTGGCTTTTTAGTTCCTGACATAACGAAATGAAACCACATTTTTGGTAGAATTATTTACCTAATTTTCACAAGGTATTTTACTCAACTAGAATTAGAGGGTCAATCATGATTTCAATTCGTATTTCATGCGTTCTGTTCACTTTCCAAACATGTACAAATTGCAACCATTATGAGGTAGAAAAGGATGACTTTGGTAAGAAAATTGCCAGGGCCATTTTGGTCATGGCCAAGGATCTCACTGAAGGCATCAATATAGAACAGGGTCCAAAGAGTACAGTGACCTTTGATCATACTTCTGAGCAGATTTCATTTCTAGGAAGAGCTAGTCTATTCCAGGACTGAAATAAGATAAAAAAATGTGGATTTATATTTTTTTTTTCCTTCTCTTAATACTATGCACAAAATTGCAATTTGCGGCTTACAAGCTTTAAGAATTGGATTCTAGACATATTTTTTAGTTTTCTCATTTTGAAGCCAGTAATCACATATCTTATTGTTATGGTTTTATAAAACCATGTCTTTCTATCAGATGACTAATTTTGAAAGAATATACAATATTACTATATTCTGAAGGTGGGACACGGACATGGGACTGATCAGGTCTATTAGTGAGGAAGTATCAGTGCTTATTTTATGAAACATCTTAAATGTGCTATATAAATGTAGTCAACAAGGCTGTCAACACAACATAAAAGCGAGTTTATGCTCATCATTGACTGAGTAGCATTGCGCTAGATGACTAATATTAAAAATAGCGAATAAATCATATTTAAAGCCGATGAAATTTTTGAGTGCACAATTAAAAAATGTCCTAACATTTGGAAAAAGATACCCAAAATAAAGTTTAAATATGGGAATAATCTGAACAAGCAGAATTATCTCTTAGAAGTAAGGCTCTGTTTTAATAAATATTTTGTATTCAGGTATTGGTGAAGGTTTTTAGCTCCAAGGGCTGTGAATTTTCCATTACGAGTTTCCTGTGGGAGGTTAACATTCCTATGTAGCTAAATAGCCCACAAACCTAATATTTGAATTGTAGTTAGCGGGCTGCTCTACAAATGTGTGCCACTAACATCTCATGATTCTTGCATTCAGCTCTATATGGTTGATAGAGTTTAACCACATTGAGTTTTAATATTTCATATAGTGACAAGATTCTGTTTTAGCATGCATAATTTTTTGCCTATTTCCCCACAGTGTATAACATGTCAGATTATTGTAGTTTTATATATATATATAAAATATATATACATGCATGCTTTGGCAACTGACTGAAAGCTTTTCACTTATTCATCCCCTGGGCAGTAAGGTTTGTAAGAAGTGTAAAAATTAACATTTTCTGGGAGGCCAAGGCAGGCAGATCACGAGGTCAAGAGATTGAGACCATCCTGGCTAACATAGTGAAACCCCGTCTCTACTAAAAATACAAAAAAAAAAAAAAAATTAGCCGGTTGTGGTGGCGGGCGCCTGTAGTCCCAGCTACTTGGGAGGCTGAGGCAGGAGAATGGCGTGAACCTGGGAGGTGGAGCTTACAGTGAGCTGAGATCGCGCCACTGCACTCTAGCCTGGGTGACAGAGTGAGACTCCATCTCAAAAAAAAAAAAAATTAAATTAAAAAAATTTTTTATCCATCAAATTTTCTCAAAGTAAACCTAGATTGTCTGCTTGTAACTCGTGGGTTGCATTTTCCTGTAGGCTGCTGGCATAAGAAACAAAAAATTATGAAGGTGTAAATAATACTTCATCATGGCTGAAAATTTTGTTCCAGGTGTGGTATTGGCAAAAAGCTAAAAATATTAGATTGATTTCCTATAAGTTCAGAGCCATAATTTTTGTATTCTTCATTTTAACACCAAATATACCCCTACTGGTTTTTTTCCTCTTTTGACATGATATTGTGTTATGATCACATCTTTTGAATTTCTCATTAAGTCATTCTCTGAGTTGTCTTTATCAAACTAGAAGCATTTCAAATCTGGAAGGCTGCTTAAAATCCTTTGGATGACCACTTTATTACTTAAGGGTGAAATACAATTCTACCAAAATGGAATATTGGATGTGCTGTATTAGAATAAAAACAAAACAACACAGACCCTTAAACAGGAATCATTAGTTCCAGTGTGTCAGCTTACATCTCTCTAAGATAGTAATTTTTCCATTTTCAAATTAAACCAAGTTCTAACTCATGTGGAATAATAAGTCTTTCCTATGATTTTCATTTGTTTAGAGAATGAATAAACTTTGGATTATTTGGATTAATGCTTTGATGTTTTATAATAAAAACTTGTTCCTAGAAAGGAAATCAGCAATGGTCAGACAACTATCTCTCAATGAAAATAAGTAAATGGAAAAGAAAATAAAACACAATTTAAAAACAAATATTTTCTCAAGTATTACTTGCTGCCCAAGATTAAATTTCACATAAACTTGTTCATTGATGGCATTTTGTTAGATGACTTGGAAATGCTAATTTAAGAATAGAGTTCACCGTTGAATTCCTTTGAGTATAAGGTGTAAAGACAAAAATTTCTTTGTTTTAATTTCAATAGCCTTGGTAAACTCCGAAGTCTAGAATTTGGAAATCCATGGCCTTAGACTCCAGTGGACCACTCAATAGAATAGCTGAGTCACTATCTGTCCCTAGTGTGATGCCAGCTGATAGTACATGTCCAATAAGTCAGTCATGTTTATTGAATGAGTCAGTTTGTGGATGCAGTGCATTAATATGCAGCATAACTCAGGACTCTTCCAGGGTGACAGAGTAGATTTGGGAGGAAATCGCAAAAATAAAGCAGCAAGAAAAGTGCCAGAGGTAGAGTTTGCAGCATCTTTATTTTTAAACTGCTTTAAGTTGAAGCAGAGTGCAGGCTCACGATCTTTTATGCTCATTTCCAAAATCTAGGCTGCGCACAGTGGCTTACACGTGTAATCCTGGCACTTTGGCAGTCTGAGGCGAGAGGATAGCTTGAGGCCAAAAGTCTGAGCCCAGCCTGGGCAACATAGCGAGAGTCCATCTCTACAAAAAATAATCATAATAAATAAATTTATATATATATATATAGCGGGGCATGATAGCATAAGCCTGTAGTCCTAGCTACTTGGGAGGCCCCGGCAGGAGGATTGCTTGAGTCTAGGAGTTCGAGACTAGAGTGAGCTATGATCACGCCACTGCACTCCAGCCTGGGTGACACAGCAAGACACCATTTCAAAAAAACACAAAATCCAAAAAAAAAAAAAAAAAAAAAAACCCACTCAACACTGAAATTCTTTTCTTTAGGTAAAAACAGACCTAATCTGACAGAGTCTTGAAGAATTCCCTAAAATGTACATTGTTTATTTAATGCACGTAGTGTGAATATTCACATATTTTGCTGCAGAAATACTGTTGTGTTTGATCACAGAATAGCGCTTCAGGCCCTGGTGGGGAGATATATAATATGCAGTATATACACTTTAATACTTTCTAAAATACATACAATTTTGAGTTCTAAGACACAGTTGGCCCACAGCTTGGGATACAGCTTGTGACCCTGTATATAGTTTGTGAATTATTGGAATGCTGTCTGCTTATTTGCTTGTTTAACAAGCATCCTCTTCTTTCTGATGCTCAACTCACAACAACATCTTTGCCCAGGAACCAGATGGAGAAAGGGGGTGCTCCTCTCAAGAGCGAATGGTTCCCTCTCAGTTCCTTGTCCACCATAGTGGTGCTGTGAGTCACTGCCCCATCATTAGCCATCAACCCTCACATGACTTGGCTCTCTGGGAGTGCTGCCCATCTAAGGCAGGAAACCCCTAGTGCCATGCCCAGCCTAGGGTACCACCCACCATGTAAATTGGCTCCCTGTGATCTGTCTGGGGCTGTCAGTGATATCCTACCATATGTATGATCACACAGGCTGAGTGATCAGTGTGTGGACTGAGTACAGTTTCCTTCATGGAGATGTATAAAGATAGAACCTATCATTTGGGTTTTATTAGTTTCAAGCATTAATCATTTGGAGATCCAAGTAAAAGATGGCAGCTACTTTTTTATCTTTGGCTGAAAAATAGTCCTTCTATATGACTGAAGAAAGGTTATCTGGATAAATTGAACTTTTCTATGAAAGCCAGGTCTGACATATCTACCCTATGAAGGACAAATCTCAAGTTTGAATGCTTTCACATCTGGTTTTAAGTAACTGACCTAATTGGCACAGATTGAGATTTAATCAGGACAGGGTAGGAATAGGAATAAAGCCAAAATTAGTTAATTCTGTTCCTATTAACAGTTCTGGCTAAATAATATAGGTGGGGAGGATTAGGAGGTCTTTAATGCCTTAAATGTATCCATGTAATCACTCTGCCTTATTAAGAGAGTGGAATTGAAACTTGACAACCCAGAAAACTAGTATTCAAAACCTGCTATGATACCAGGACATAGGAAGAAAGGAGCTTG
This sequence comes from Homo sapiens, assembly GCF_000001405.40. Classification (NCBI taxonomy): domain Eukaryota; kingdom Metazoa; phylum Chordata; class Mammalia; order Primates; family Hominidae; genus Homo; species Homo sapiens. Next base: position 71,009,703 of record NC_000012.12, on the reverse strand, counting down.
TTGGCTTGCATTTCTTGTTTCTTCTTGACTGCGTTTTGGAAGGTCTAGAGAAAACATTAGTCTTATCTGTTTCCTCTGATAACATCTCTCCCCCGCAACTCCCCCTCTGTTCCTCTTTTTCCTCGTTTTGTTCTCTACCTACCTACCTATCTATCTAATCATTTATTGTTCACGGTCACTTTCTCTCCGCCTGACGGTCTGTGTATCTGTCAGTCTATCTGTCTGCTTTATTTTCCACACTGGGAAAGCATGAGAAAAGATGGGGAAGGTGAGAAATGGGCATCTGCCATCCCCCAGAAAAAATATCCTCTAATTTAAAATGTTACTTAAATCATTATTTACATAATTTTAGCCTTATAAAAGTAAAGCCTTTACATAGCTGTGATGACAATTCTTAACTTTCACTCTGAGAATCATTTAAACTAGAGATCATTTAGTTTGTTGGATGGTATGGAAATGAGATGTAATCCATAAAGCACTTTGAATTCCTTAGGAGGTTTCAATTAAATCAAAGGGTGCTAATCTTTTATAATAAAATCTTCTTCTATATTGACCCTAGAATACATTTTCTCAAATTACTCAGTGTTGAATTTATTTAGATATCTGGTCAGGGAAGGCCCTGAAAATTTTAAGTAGAGGGATTCCCTTGGAAAATTTTCTCATCAAAATTCTTGTCTTCACACGAGACTATTTTACCTATTCAGAAAACATACAGACTCCAGGATCTATAAAAAGTGGATAAACACTTATTTTTTAATGTTTCTGAATTGTATTACAAAATGTATTAAGGAAAGCTTTTTGCCTATATGAGCACATTGTCAACAAGAAGCTAGAAGCCAAGTTTCAGTTGCAGTGTAAACTGAACTGCACACAACTTAGCTTCTTATGTGGCATCTCTAGAGAGAGGTACACACAGCTTCCCAACTTGAAACAACTGAGAAAAATGAGAAGCATGCTTTTGGGGAAGTTGAAAACCTTGATGCCCTGTGTTCTGGCTCAGGCTGTGTGCGGGGCCCGCTGTCTTTCACCCACAATCCTGGGGTGCCCTAGAGTATTTTCCAAGCCTCAGTAGCTCCTAATGGTTACAGTGACCCTAGCCCAGGGGTTGCAAACACAAAAGCACACAAGTACCAAGCAAAAGATGGAAATGAGTAAAGTGGGCCTGGGGGTGCTGTAGTAAACAGGCAGCACACTCTTACAAAAGGAGACTTTTCTCAGCTCCCAAGCAGAATCCACACAGGCCCAACATTGTTAGAGATTCCATTCTTTAATTTCAAAAGAAACACAAGATCCAGGATTTTTTAGATGATCTCTTATATTTTTAAATATTCCATTGTTGTTCAAGTATTTTTTAGAAACAAACAGCAGACTAGATCTGGACTGTGAGCTGACGCTGTGACTTCTTCCTTAAATGAAATAATTAAACCCAGGAGGAGACCTCTAAACAGTTCACTTCTGTACTCAGTGATTCATTATCCCACATTTTAAGGCTTTGCCATCTTTCTGGCTTATGAGGAATCACAACAAAAACCTAGAGACTATTCTAAGGTCACATGTAGAATGTATGCAAGAGCATCATGGTCTTAAACACTCCTGATCATTAGAGATCATCTACACACTATGTAAGAGGAAATATCAGTTAATGTGGTTTTGTGTTCTCCAGCTAAGATCTCACTGCAGATTCTATTAACATCAACCCTGCAACACTTACTCTGCTTTGATGAGAAGAGAGTATCAACAGGATGAACAAACCATAAGGAGCCCCTTTAAAAAGGGACCACCCAAAGAGAGGCTGAATTAAAGTCTACGTAATACAAACCATCACTTGTGGGAAATGAAAAGTACTTGAGCAATGACTAATGTTTCTAATATCAGACACATTTGATCTCCCTCCCTTCCCCAAAAATAAAATTGTCTCATTTCAGGTGATTATCTATTGCTTGTGAATGTAAGAGTTATTCATTTAGAAACTGAACACATTTATTTCAGCATATGGCTACAGTCAACCCAGAGTTAACTGGATCATCTCTTCTCAGTTTTATGATTATGCATCTGGCTTACCTGGATCTTATAAACTGTATGATGCAAAGTAAGATATATACATATATACAAACATATGTATGTGTGTGTAGACATATGTATTTCAACAACTGATTACTGAGCTTTATGCTAAGTGGTAGAAATTAAAAAGATGATTCTGATAATCCCTGCTGTCAAAACTATACAGTCTAATAGGGTAGATAGAAATATAAGCAATTGAATTAAGTATAAGGCATTAGTGCTGTTATAATGGTATTTGCCAGTCTATCAGCAACTCCCGCTGATTCTACTCCAATGTATATCTAAAAATCTATCCACATTTATCCATTGCTACTGCCATCACCCTCATCCAAGAAACTGTTATCTCTCCTGAACTATTGCCACAAACTTTTATCTGCTTCTCATACTTCCCCTCCAGACACCATCGTCCCATTCCAATTCATAGGAACTAAAGTGATTAAAAAACAATAAGAAAGCCCTGTAGGTCCTGGCCATTGCTTATCTCTCCATCCTCATTTAATAAAATTAACCAACTCAGTCTGGGCTTCTGTCATTTCTCACAAGGAACTAAGCACTTCCTCACTCAGAAACCTGGTGCCTGCTGTTTTCCCTGAAGGGAAGCTCTCCAGTGGTTTACGTGTCACCTCCTTAGAAAGGTGTTGATGACCACAAGTTCTACACTTTAAATTCCATTTCTACTTTGCTTTTAATCTTCATTATTATGTGTCCTTGTATTTGTTTGTTTCCTTGTTTTTTTTTTTTTTTTTTTTTTTTTTTTTTTTTTTTTTTAATCTGTCTTCCCAGTAGATTTTATAAAATCACATCTTTGGCTGGGCGCAATGGCTCACACCTGTAATCCCAGCACTTTGGGAGGCCGAGGCGGGTGGATCACGAGGTCAGGAGATTGAGACCATCCTGGCTAACACAGTGAAACCGCATCTCTACTAAAAAACAAAAAAATAAGCTGGGCATGGTGGTGAGCGCCTGTAGTCCCAGCTACTCAGGAGGCTGAGGCAGGAGAATGGCATGAACCCGGGAGGCAGAGCTTGCAGTGAGCCAAGATCGCACCACTGCACTCCAGCCTGGGCAACAGAGCAAGACTCCATCTCAAAAAAAAAAAAAAAAATCTACAACTTTGTCTCTCTTGGTCTCTGTTGTACTCTCAACATCTAGCAGAGTGCTTGGTATATACGATAGACATCAATAATATTTTGTTCTAAGATTGCAGGGAAAAACAAAGCCTTATGGAGTGCAATTAATTATTTCAGGATTGGAGAAAGAGTGGGAATATTGTTTGTCATTGTATTAGTTTCCTAGAGCTGCTGTTCAAAAATGTACTGTAAACTGTGTAGCTTAAAACCTAATTTATTCTCTCACTGCTCTGGAGGCTAGAAGTCTAAAATAAAGGGGTGTCTGCAGGGTTAGTTTCATCTGAAGGGCTCAGAAGGAGAACATGTTCCACACCTCTCTCCTCACTTCTTGTGGTTGCTGGCAATTCTTGGTATTCCCGGATTGTGGCAGCATTAATTTCAATTTGTGCCTCCCTTGTCATGTAACATTCTTCCTGTGTGTCTGTCTCTGTCCCCAGCACTACAGCTGAGGCAGCCCCTGCCCTCCTAGGGCTCCAAGTCTCTGGTACATTGGAGCAGTTTCATCTTCTAGAAGCACCGCAAATGGTGTGACATCCCACTCCCAGGGATTCAGAGGCTCTGGCTGACCTATGTGGCAGTGCTTTCTGGGACCAGTCAGATGCAGTGCCTCGAATCCAAGGTAATCAGAGCCTTGGCTGAGCTGTGCTACACTGTGAAATACCATCTCACACCTGTTAAGATGGCCATTATCAAAAAGTCAAAAGATAGCAAATGTTGATGAGGATGTAAAGAAAAGGGAACTCTTGTATACTGTTGGTGTGAATGTAGATTGAACTCTTGTACATTGTTGGTGGGAATTGTAGAATTTCCATAAGGGTACAGCCCTTATGGAAAACAGTATGGAGGTTTCCAAAGAAATTAAAAATAGAACTACCATATCACCTAGCAATTCTTCCTCTGGTCATATATCCAAAGGAACTGAAATCACCACCTTGTTAAGATATCTGTACTTCCATGTTTATTGTAGTATTATTCACAATAGCCAAAATATGGAAACAATATAAGTATTCATCGATGGATGAATGGATAAAAATACTATGGTACATATGTACAATGGATGTTATTCAGCCATAAACAAGAATGAGATATTACCATTTGCTACAATATAGATGAGCCTGGAGAACATTATGCTAAGTGAAATAAGCCAGACATAGAAAAATAATTGCATTATCTCATTTATGTGTGGAATCTAAAAATATACATAGATAAAGAACAAAACAGTGGTTAACAGGAAAGGGCATGGGGTGGGGAGGAAATAGGGAGATGTAGTCAGAGGATGGAAAATAGCCGATAATGTAGGACGAACAAGTCTAGAGACTAAATGAACATGAGGATGAGAGGTAATAAAATTGTACTGTATATGGGATTCACGCTACATGAGTAGATTTTGGTTGCCCTCGGAAAAAAACAAGGGTCACTATTGTAAGGTGATGGACATGTGAATCTGCTTCACTGTAGTAACCTTTTAACTATCTATATGTACCCCATATCATGTTGTATACCTTAAATATACACAATAACATTTGTTTTTAAAAAGCACAAATTTCTCTCTTTTTATTAGGGCATGGATCATTGGATTAGGTCCCGACTGAATCCATTATGACCTCATTTTAACTTGATTACATCTGTAGTGACCCTATTTCCAAATAAGATTATGTTCACAGGTACCAGAGAATTAGCACTTGAACATAACTTTTGGGTGAACACAATTCAACCCATAACAGTCATCTACCTCTCAGAGAATATGACGTCAGAGTAGTGTCTGAAAGAGTGAATACAAGTTGGAGCGAGAGAATTGGGCAGGTGTGTGGTTAGAGGAATAAGCAGGACAGGGCATTTAGCATAAAAAGACATGTAAGATCGGATAGCAGTTGGCTGGGGGCAGACTTGAATGCTATATAAAGGGGGTCTGGATTTTATCCTATTGTCTTAGTCTGTTCAGGTTGCCACAACAAAATACCATAGATTGGGTGGCTTGAATTTAGAAATTTATTTTATCGCAGATCTGAGGACTGGAAGTCCAAGATTAAGGTGCCAGCAGGACCAGTATCTGGCAAAGGCTTTCTCCTCGGATTGCAGACAGCCACCTACGCTGTGTCCTCAAATAGCGGAGAGAGAGAATGCTGATATCTCTTCCTATAAGGACACCATCCCTATCAGATTAGGGCCCAGCCCTTTTGACCTCATTAACCTTTATCACCTCCTTACAGGCTCTATTTCCAGGTAAGGCATACACGTTTATGAATTTCAGAATTTCTCTACTTTCCGTGTTATATAAGTAGGACTGTACCTCAATTTCCCTAACTCCTATTTTTTATTTCTCAACTCAGATTTTCACTATTAGTTCTTTCTAAAACCCTGGCCTGTTCGACTGGTTCCTTATTCCCCAACAAGTCCTTCTCAGTCACTTCTTCTAGGAGGTTAGGTTCTGTCCTTCAAACCACCAATTACAATTCAGAATTGATTGTGATCCAATTATCCCTGCCTAATTTTCTTGTAGTAATGTTGTTGTATGGCTCCTCTCTGCTGTCACTTACCCATTACATTCTTTTTTCTTGGTCCTAGCATTTGCCTGTATCACTTTTGGCCTTGCTAAACCATTTTGCCTTTGTACATTCAACTCTCTGGCTGTTCCCACAAAAGTGAGCTTCCTCCAATACACTTCCTGCCCATTCTCAGCTTTCTCCTAACTGGCCTTTGATTCTGAAATCTTGGCTGGTTTTTTCACTCCCCAATTTTTCTTTGTGTTGGAACTTGCTAACTCAGGCAGCTGAGTTAGAATCAATTTAGGTAACCAACCCTTCCCATCTTTGCCCTGTATATTTGGTTACCTCAGCATTCTTTCTACAATGCTTCTGCATCAGAGTGAATATTTGTCCTTTCAAAACAGTGTAATTTGTGTAACTTTCCAGTTCATATCATCATATTGATATAAAAATTCCTTCTAGATATGAAAAGCCTGAACTGAATGTTTGGCCCTGTAAATTCTCCTGCCTGGCTGATCCTGATTGGCCAGTAAATTTCAAAATAAAACCTCATTTATCATAGGGGACCTCTTTTTCCACTGCCCTGGTGAGCGTTTCTAGTCTGTAAGAACATGAGAGAGGGGCTTCTCTCCCTTCATACTTCTCATGGCCAGCCATTTTACCCCTCGCTCTGTGTTCAGGGCCTTTCCTGAAGGTACTATTGTTTCCAAGTATCATTTTAAGGCTTTAGAGACGTAAGAGTTTTTTCCATAGAAAGCTTATGGAGGCTTCCTTTAGAAATGTGATTACTTATACTCCCATAAGACAGCCTAAAGATAACAGGAAAATTGTAATTTGTGAAATGGTGACTTCACATATGAAAATATGTAAACATAGTTAACTACTCAGACTTCATCCAAATTGTTTTGGTTTTGGAAGTTCCATCAAAATTTATAGTTAATTTGTGAATATATGTGTGTGTGTGTATGTGTGTGGGTACACACACATATATATCTTATAGACTATATCCTGTAAGCAGTTGATTGTGTACTAATATAGAAAATAATTTGGATTTTAATATGCATATTAAACTACTTAAATATAAATTTTGTGTATTAGTCTTCAGAGGAGAAAATAAAAATTTCTTCTGGAAGAGTAAGACACTGGATGGTGAAAAACAATATTTTACAGAACAGATTGAATTATATGTCAAAAGTACTCAGCAAACAAGTTCAGTTATTTCAAATATATCAAATATCAAAACATAACTTTCAAATAAAAAATACTATTAACATTAATGTCTCAATTTTTATGTGGCTTGTTACTATTACTTTATGTGGCTTATTCTTTTCCCTTTGTGCTTTCCAAAATCTGTAATGTTATTCCATTCCAATATTCTTTGCTATATTTATATATAAAGTATAAAGTCAATAGCTTTGAATACATTAAAATCAGATTGAAAGTGATGTTTCATCACTGAGAAAAATCTATATATTTTTTACATATAAAATATCAATTTGTAGGTATGATTAGGAAAATTAGGAAGAACCCTTTAGTTTTTTATCCTACAAAATTAGTGGAAAAAATCATAATCCCACTATGGAAGTCTTGTCTGAATACCACTGCCTATGGTCAGTGTGCTTCTGGTAAGTTGGTGATTTCCGCAATGGTTGCTTCATGTTTGCTATTCATAAAGTGCATTGGGACCCGTAAGATATTGGTGCTGGTGTTGATAAATGATCTTTTCCTCTTAGACTCTGCTAGATCCAGTTTTTTATTGACTGTCATTATTAGGTTTTAGAAGCTTAAACTGATACATAGTCCTTGAAATATAAAAATAGTCTTTATGTTACAAAATTATTTGCCATAGAGTTTCTTTTACAACAGTAAGCTTCCCCTGTGGCTCCACCTCCAGCTGGGCCAGGATCTGGTCTGTATTTGAAAGAATTATATTTGTGGCTGTTCTTTTTTCATTCATCTCTCAGAAGCTATTGTTGCAAATCAGAACAGAGAAGCCCCAACTTTCCTCTGATGGTCCCTCAATGCACAGGGCAGCTTTGCTCAAAGAACTAGGAATCCTCATAGACTCCACCTTTACATAGTAGGCTGACCATACAGGTTTCTAGAATATGGGACTAAGGTGAGTCTGTCCCTATTCTTGGAAAAAGTACCAGAAGCTCAGGCCTTTGTCCAGATCCAAATCCTGAGTTCCCTGAATCTTGGATTCAACCATGGAATAAATCCTCTCAATTTGATGTCTAGATCTCAGAATCCGTCCACTTTTCTTCAACCCTACTGCAACCAGCCTAGCTCAGGTCGCTGTCATCTCTTGCCTATATAACTGTCAGAGCTTCCTACTGTTACCTCAGCCTTCAGTCTTGCCTCCCACAAATTTATTGTCTATATTTCAGTGTTACTGAAAAGCAGACAATTTAGATGCTTCCTTTAGCCACCAGTGTAAAGCCCAAACTCCTCAACATGGTATAATTTTTCATGTTTTCACCTTATTTGTATTTCTTTGTATTCTCTCTTAACTCTAAACCTTTGTGTATTCTGCCCTTGTCCTGGGAAGCTGTTCTCGGCTTCCCTCTGTCTCTTCCGTTGCCTTCCCTCCTTACTTCCTGAGAAACCATCTTGGCTGCTGAGTTGAAATCATCCTTTAGACCTAAGTCTTGATGCCATGTACTCTGGAAATATTCTCTGACTCCCAAAACTGAGTTATGTGCCCTGATTATGTGCTCCCACAATACACAGCACTCTGTGTGTAATGGGCTATTTATTTATTACCTTCCCAACTAGACCATAGGTTCCTTAAAGACAAGTTCATTACTGCATCCTCAGCACCTATTTTGCCTAGCACATAACAGGTATTCACTTTGTTAAATGAATATTGCTTTGTGCCCACTTACCTTTTGACCTTGATTTCACTTCTACATTTCATTGACTCCTGGACATTTGGGCTTCTCTCCTCCATGCTACCTTGTGCCCCCATTCAATTTGACATCTAGTCTGACTTTTCTTATTTTGGTCTTGGCAGTTGCTCTCTCTTGGATGTGGTTTATATCAGCCCTCTGGCTCTCTCTGCTTTGATTGCTTTGGAGAACTTCCCTCACCCTGGTACTGCCTGCCAGCTGATGTTGCTTCTGAGCCTGTGTGTGTATGGGGGATAGCGGGGGGATGGAGATTGGGTATTTTGTTCCTAATTATCTATTTATTACAGTATCACTATGAAAAGGTAAGCAAACTTGACTTTCTTTTTGACAACTAGAGAGCTACCCTGGAGGATCCTAAAACTGTCATCTTAATTCATCACGCCACAGTCACATTTTTCTCACTAGATGACTGTGAGTGGTAACTCTGCTAGAGTTTTCTTACTGCTCTCAGCCCATTAACTAAAAGCACTGTGTCTCCAATCAGCTGCCTACCTTAAACCCTTAGCTAGCCCTTGTCTTTATTCAGCAAGCCTTAGGAAGACACAGGGAGAAACAATTGTTTCCTCAACAGCTTCTATTTTCTTTTTTCCAAGTTCTAACACAAGGGGTAGAGACAAAATGTTTTGCCAAATCCTTCCCAAACCACCAAGATTTTCCTCCCAGGAAATGAGAGTCACTAAATTTCTGTCTTCTCTGCTTCCTATTCTGTTAGAATATCCTTGTTTTGTTTTGTTTTGCTTTGTTTTTGTTTTGTTTTTCTGAGAAGGAGCTTCACTCTGTCACGCAGGCTGGAGTGCAGTGGCCTGATCTCAGCTCACTGTAACCTCTGCCTCCCCGGTTCAAGAGATTCTCCTGCCTCAGCCTCCCGTATAGCTGGGATTACAAGCCTGCACTACCCCACCCAACTAATTTTTGTATTTTTAGCAGAGACAGGGTTTCACAATGTTGGCCAGGCTGGTCTCGAATTCCTGACCTCAAGTGATCTGCCAGTCTCAGCCTCCCGGAGTGCTGGGATTACAGGCGTGAGCCACCATGCTCGGCCCTGTTCTTGTTAGAGTGTTTTGTCCTCCTAAAGAGTGACTTTGTTAACTTTGATTTGGGCTTCCTGTTGAGACAGTTACCCCCATCAGTTTAAGGCATTTTATAACATTCTACACATTCTTGCTTCCGGGACATTGAATGATTTTTCCTTTTGGAAACTGAATGGCTCGAATAGTACCGTATCTTATAATAGCATCAACCTCTGCACTCCCCTCAGAGCGGTCTCCCAATTTAAAGAAAAAATCATGGAAACGTCTTTGTTCATTTGTGACAAAAATTGATGTTTTCCTGGTAGTCAGAAACAGGGCATGAATTTTTTGTTCTAAATATCCAATGAACAAGTTTATGAGTTCGTCAGAGCCCTGTAGAAGAAAACTTCCTACATGATCCTCAAAAGAGAATGGTGATTTTGATTTTTAGAAAAATTGAAATAGATTTCTTTCTACCTATAGGATTTGATATCTAAGAATATCTAAGCAACACTGTGCAATTGAGCCAGAGTAACCTCAGTTAACTTTTTCATAATAGTTCCACTAATCTGCAAAAATACTAGGTGTAATATTAATGGAGATGACTTTGCTTGACTAAGGTAGCTTTGTGGCTGGGAGAAAGGAAGTGAGCAGAGATCCAGAGAAGTGCTGCCCAATGGAGATAATGCAATCCATATATATAATCTTTATATTTATTTATTTATCTTATTTTATTTTTTGAGACAGTCTTGTTCTGTTTCCCAGGCTGGAGTGCAGTGGCGCAATCTTGGCTCACTGCAACCTCCGCCTTTCAGGTTCAAGCAATTCTCATGCCTCAGCCTCCAGAGTAGCTGGGACTACAGGCACCTACCACCACACTCAGCTAATTTTGTTTTTGTGTTTTTTTGTTTTTGTTTTTGTTTTATATTTTTAGTAGAGACAGAGTTTCACCATGTTAGCCAGGCTGGTCTTGAACTCCTGACCTGAAGCAATCCACCCACTTCAGCCTCCCAAAGTGCTAGGATTACAGGCGTGAGCCACGGCTCCTGACCCACATATATAATCTTAAATTTCTAGTGGCCATATTTTACAAAGTAAACAGGTGAAATTAATTTAACAATAGTTTCTTTAATCAAACATGCCCCAAATATTTCAATATGTAATCAATTAAATATTATAAGTGAGGGAGTTCTTTGGTACTAAATCTTTAATAGTCAGTGTGTAGTTTACACTTACAACCCATTTCGATTCTGAATAGCCACATTTCAAGTACTAAACATCACAGATGACTACCACCTACCACACTGGATAACACAGATCTAGAGCCTGAAGAATGTTGCTGTCTCGGATAATATCAGAGTGGCTATAAAATGCAAACTGAGGATTATAGTTATCCTCACTATGATCCTTACCATGCCACTCATAAAGTCCTCCAGTACTTAGATGCCAACTCACGGCAAAAAAAAGCTTGGCATTCTTAATACAAGTGAGATTAAGTTATCTCCACTTCACAGAATAGAGGCCTAATGTACAAATTAAGTTTCATTATGAATAAATTAGAAATTTGTATTTCTTATACTCTTCAGTTTGTGGTCTGAGTTCTCTACCTGTTGTATTTACCTCAGAGTGGTTTAGATTATTAAATAGGTAACTGTATACAACAAATGGTATAATTTATGTGTCTTAGAAAGAACTCAATAGTCTACCATTTCTTAAATTGATTCAAATCCAGAGATGGCCAAGGCCATCCTATCACTCTTAGGACCAATAAACTTTCACAGCTGGATATCTCAAGATTTCAGGATGTGGGCACAGTGGTCATTAGATGAGAAGATATTAAATTGACTAACTTAAGTCATATGACATTCTGAGAAACTGACATATCTACATCATCTATGAAGACCAACGCTTAAAATTGGCAACATATGGATACTAAGGAGTGCATTAAGTATAGGTGTATAGTTTGGTCTATTCATTTATAAACAGACCAAACAAAAATGCTGAAAAAACATATTTAGAGCAAAGTGTTTAAATTGTCTTAAAAGAGAGAAAAGCATCCTAATCACAGGAAACATCCAGTGTCATGCTTTTTACTATATTTGCAGGCACGTGTTTATTTTGTTCTTGTTTAGGTCCAACCTGAGTGGAATCCTGCCATTTATTTTGTCAGCAATGTTTAAGTTCAGCCAGTAGGAAAAGGACATTGGAAGCACAAGCTAAAAAGGAAAGATATGTAGCTGACATTAACCATACCTATAAGAAACTATATATAATTATAATTTATATATAGAATATAATTATCCACAATTATGACAGAAAAATACTATGGAAATGTCTTATAAAGAAGATTAGGGTTTTTGGAGAAAAGATTCAGGTATTTCTTTGTATAATATTGTATGGCAATAAAATCCAGGTAACCTGCCTGAAGACACCTAGCATTACAGTTAGGATATAGGTATAATTATTATAACAAAGACTCAAAACAGCAGTAGTATAAACAATATAAAATATGTTTATTTCTTATGAAAATATTTAAGAGTAAGTATTCTAGGGCAGACATGATGGCTCCCCAGTGTCAGAGATATGAATCTCTTTATCTTGCTTCCAGTGACATCCTTAGACTAGAGCTAGAACGGCCCCTCCCCTTAGCCCTGTCTTTGAGGGTTTCGCCTTGTCCCTTCTCCAGATGTGTGCATTTTCCACAGAGCAAGAAATCTTCAAAACCAAGGATGTACGCCTATGTGGAACCTGTTTGGCTCCCCACCACAGTCTAGACCAAGTGCTAGGTACTCACAATTCAGCATACCCAGTTTAAGTGGACCTGAGTCTGCTTCCAGGGCCCAAGCATACCTCTACCCCAGCATGATCTGTGTTACTGGTCTGTACTCCCTTAGGCTCAAGGCAAGGGGTCGCTAAGTGGCAACTGTTCATAGGAAACAGATCTGTGAGCTGGGATGGATATACATGCCATGAGGTCCCTTGCAGTGCAGCATGGAGCTATATTTGGGTGAGAATAGACATGGGCCAGGAGCCAGTGCTAGGTGGGTATTCCTGCACTCACCATATTCTGGTGCATTATTCAAAGGACTTCAAGGATTTTACACTTTAACTTGGCATACAAGATTATTTGATATTTGTCAAGATAGGAGGTTAGGACATATTATATTTACTAGTTTTCTCGCAGATGTATAACTTTTAAATATTTGTGTCTCTGTTATTTGGTCTTCCATCTGAACTCTAATTCCCAGACCCTAAAAATATTATTGGTGGGCCTGCTTGAGGTTCTATAGTTTTCAACCTAGAATTGATACTTCACGGACAAAAATGGTTCCTTTAGCTCCACCCATCACATCTGCATTTTGGCCAATAGGAAGGAAAAAGGGAGGATGTAGATGTTCCTTTAAGGACATAATCTAGAAAAAAACAAAAACAAATCACAACTTTTGGGATGTATAGATTTTTACTGGGCATCCCATATTCTCAGCTGAAAGTTCTGTAACTGAGGAAAAAGCAGAGAATAAATATTGGAGAAGACAATGAGCAGTCTAACACATTCTGTCTCTTTCCAAATGAGTCAATCCCAGAGTTCAATTCAGTTACAGAATCAACAAAGTCTAGGGTCATAGGTCATGTGTGGTCCTCCCCATTAGGAAGATGAAGCTTATTATGGTCCAGGAATATGACAATTAAAAAATATCTGTTTCTTCCTCTTCACACCCAAACTTAATAAAAATGTTAGAGGAAGAGCAGGACATCCAAATGCGCAGTTGAAATGGGGAAGAGTGGGAAACCAAAGAACAGTCACTGGTTTTTAGTAATCATCATGTCTTGCTGAGGATGATATTGCAAACTGTCTGGCAGCTTGGTTAGTTCATTTGGAAATGCTGATTATACTCTCTGAGGAACTTATTTCTCCATTTGCTCTGTGGCCCTTCTGAGGCATTCTTCCTTGTCCATTTTCCTCCATAGAAACTTTAGGAAGTGCTGGAGAGTATGTTGCTCTTGGGAAATGTATAGCTTTGGAGGTTTGGGCTGCTTTGTAGGTCCAACTGACACAGGTTTTTTTCATACTAGAAGTGTGTTTTTGGGGGGTAACGTATTTTTCCCAAAATCTTAGTTGGCTTACAGTCTACTGGCTTCCAGCGGGTTTCATAAGTAAGCAGCCAAAGATATTCTCTAGTCAGACTTCTTACATTTGGAGACCTTTTCTTTTTTACCTGGACTTGTGCCTTTGCCCATTCCCATTTTATTAGTAGCCTATCTGAGGCCATCCAGAACAATAGCATTGATTGGGAAAGGGCCAACATTAATCTGATCATTGCTTCTGGACTAGACTCACTGACTAGCAGAGAGTACTTATGGTAAGAAGTATGAGAGAAGCCTGGACACAGTTTTAGTTTCTGCTAAGCCTTCATCTTTAGAGCTATTTCTTAGCCCCATTTCAGTTTTGGAAGAAATAATTAACTTTTTCAGTGTTGCGTATTTCTAAATTACTAGATTCTTTGTCCAGTAGATTTCAGGCTACATGCAGAGAAAAACTACCTTATTCCCTTCGATCTATGCTCACAAACATTCTAGTTCTAGCTTGAGTCCTTCTTTTCTGTAGGATTTTTCCAAAAGCTTCAACAGGCTGCCATGCACACGAGCATTCTGGTTTTTGTTTGTTTGTTTTTCCAGTAATCTCCTAGAGTCACAGGCTACACTCATATATGTTCTGCCTTCTGAGGTATCAGAGGTAACAATTTTTCTAAACATGTTTCCAAAATACTGGTAGAATCACCATTTTCTAGCTTCTAATATCTGTGTCTTTTCTACCTACTGTCCAACTGTTAACCCAGGAAGTTATATTCTGTTGTGGCAATCCTAATTCTATTTTTTTTTTTTTTTTTTTTTTTTGAGACAGGGTCTCACTCTGTCTCCCAGGCTGGAGTGCAGTTGTGATCTTGGCTCGCTGCAACCTCTGCCTCCCAGGCCCAAGCCATCTTCTGTCTCAGCCTCCCGAGTAGCTGGGACCATAGGCATGCGTCACTATGGCCAGCTAAGTTTTGTATTTTTTGTCGAGATCGGGTTTTTCCATGTTGTCCAGGCTGGTCTCAAACTCCTGGGCTCAAGAAATCCACATTCCTCAGCCTCTCAAAAGTGCTGGGATTACAGGTGTGAGCTGGCAACACCAATTCTAGTATCAAATTCAAAATTAATTAGGCTGTAGATACAATCGTTGTTATAGGGTTCTGAAATAACAGTAGTTTAAACAAAATGGCTTATTTCTGGCTCACATGGCAGCCCAGGTGAAAGGCATCCAGTGTAGGAAAGGCAGCTGTGTGGACAATTTCCACCTTGTGGATTACGATGATTTCTTCAGCTCTAGTCATCATATCCACATTATATCCACTGGAAATGGGAAACAATTAAGGGGAATGCACATTGCTTTCTCTTAAATGCATGACTTACTTTCATAAGTAAACAGTAACTGATTTTTTAGCAACAATTATATGGCTTATGCTCATGTTGCATCAGCCAGGACTTAATCACATAACCGCACCTCATTGCAAGGAAGGCTGCCAAATAAAGTCTTTAGCTGGACAACCATGATTCCATTTTAACTATGGATGGGAGAAGTTGAAAAGACAGCATTGCCATTCATCTTCTTTACACACATTGAGTGGCTTTCATACTCACTTCATAACGATTCCCTTCTTAGGAACTGAATAGGCAAGGCTGAACTGAAATGATGTTCATACATTCCAGCATAGCAGAGCATTTTTGAAGAACTTCTGTTTAGTTTGGCAAAGAAAATTGGCCTTCTGGAAGGAACAGTGTGTATTTCTTGGTCTTGAAGATTTCGTAATATTTCCGTAGACCACAAAACTAATAGGACAACTATGAACAGAATATTGGAAATGACAAAGGCCAAAAGAGTGTCTCCCAAATAAACATTTATTTTTTACTCTTCCTTTCTAGACTTGCTTTCTAGAAACCGCCCTCTTCTTTTTGATTTCTGTGTGGTCTTTCATTGATAACACAGATAGAAAGAACATAGCATTAAAATCTGGATTCAAATCTTTTTATTGTAGTCAATGTGGCAGTGATAATTTTCACCTAGGCAAATAATATTAGACCTGACAAGGTTTAGGAGTCACAACTATTCAGCAAAGTGTATTCATTTCCTTATATTGTGAATTGAATAGTAGTGTTGGAACACTAAAGCTTATTAATTTCACTATGCATAAAACTAGGTCTGACTGCTAGCCCAGTTGTAAATACAAAGTAGTGGTAAGTGCACAATCTTTGGGTCAGACAGACCGTGGTTCAAATGGGACTCTCTTATGTATGTCTTAGCCATTCACTTATATATAGAAGGGTAAGCATCCTTTTTCTTATCTCTTGAAATTTCGTATTCATGATTTCATCTTCAACTATCAGTTTTTAGTATATATCTCTAGCTCAGATATTTCTCCTAACCCTTTTCCTGCTACATTTCATTTTTTTTTTTTTCTAATCACTCAGAGAGTTAGGGATAATCATTGAACTTACCAAGGCTATTAGGTGACTAAATGAGATCACATGTAAAAATTGCATGACAGTCAAAAGATAACTATTACTACTGTGTTCATGTGGGATGAACAAATTGATGCCTATCATTTATATTATACCTCATAAGACATGGTACAAGGTTTTGTGTGTGTGTGTGTGTGTGTGTGTATTTGTAATATTATAATAAAAATCATTCAAATTAACACAGATACACTAGGACATTTTTCTTTAAAAAGAACCTATAATTGAAAAATACCACTCTGCCTAGCCTAGACTTTTGCTTATTTCCTGTACAATACTTTGCATATAATACTTGTAGAGGTAATGAATGTTTGGAATTTGTTTGACTGAATTTATTAATGTTCAGATTTTAAAATAAATTTACCTTAAGACTTGCTACCATTAATAAGTTAACATGTTAATACATTAATAGTAATAACGTTACTATCTGTATGTCAATCACCATTAAGTAAACAACATACATTTCTCATTTAATCTTCACAACTATACTCAATGGGAGCTCTGATTGTTATGTTACAGATTAATACACTGGTGTTCAGAGAGGTTAGCTCACTTACACACAAGCACATGGCAAGTAACTGAGAGAGGCAGTAGAGCTCAGGCTGGTTGACTCCAAAGTTAATTTTTACCCAAAATACTGTATATAAAATTTAAAATATGCATGAAAATGGCAAAATGGTGGTATAGTAGTAGTATTTACATCAATAACACAATGTTAGAACTTGAAAAACATTATCCTCCAACCAGCCTGAGAGCCAGTATTTATGGTCTTGCTCTCTGAAGCAAAGTATACGTGTAGAAATGTGGAATTCACCTGCAGTAGGAAGTGTCAATCAAAATTGTCAAGTGTATCTTACTGATGCTTTTTGGCTTCTTCTTGCATTTTCAATTTCATTTGGTTCTAAGAGTAGGAGAACAAAAGAGGAAAAGGAGATTCAAAGAACTAGAGTTCTGATACACATAATTCTTTTATTCCCCATGCCAAGCTTCAAAGGAAAATACTCTCCAGTTCCATCCTTCCTTGACTAACATATGCAGAGAAATGATAAGTCATCAGAATGATCAAATGCACTGGAGAGATTCTGTGAACAATAAAACAGCAGCTACAGCATCTCGGCAGATCAATGCTATTATAAAGGAGATTTTCAGTTTACATTTTTAGCTATCGTTTAGGAAGGTGGTCATAAAAATGGTACTGGACTCTTCGAAAAAAAAAAAACCTTCTCATTAAAATGTAATGGGACTGTTTAAAATATTCAGAAATGGTAGCCTGGATAGGGTCACTGTTTTGGCAGTGTATTATTTTTCTATTGCTGTAGAACAAATTATTAGAAACTTAGCAGCCTAAAACAACATGCATTTAGCATCGCGAAGCTTCTGTAGGTCACACATCTGAGCACGACATAACTGGGTCCTCTGCTCAGTGTCTCACAAGCAGCAATTGAGGTGTTGGCTGGAGCTGCAACCTCATCTGAGGCTCAGAGTCCTCTTCCAGGCTTCTGTAAGGGTTGTTAGGATTCAGTTTCCTACAGTTGAAGGACTGAGGGCCTCAATTTCTAGAGGCCATTCTAGAAAAGCCTCAAAAATGTAAACTACTTAACAGTGAGAGAAAGCAGATTCGTGATTTTCCAGGGAAGGAGGCAGGGGAAGGAGGAATGGATTACCAAGATGCAAGAGAACAATTTCAAGAGAATAGATTTGTTAATTATCTTGAGCATGGTGAGGGCTTCAAAGGTGTATTAAAATTCAACAAGTTATATAGCTTAAATATATGTAGCTTATTGTACGTCAATTATATACCAATAGCTTTTAAAAAACAAATATAATGGAAAGTGACCATTGTGCAGCATATACTCAAGTCTTCTGTGACAAAGAACTGAGACCTCAGCTTGTCACAGTGGAAACTAAATTATGTGGCAGGACAAGTTGGCTAAGACTTAATTCTTCAGTATCTATTTTTGAGCACCTGCTACATGCCTTGTTCTACATCAGGCATTTTGTATGTACTGTGTTATAATATTGTCATGATAACTCTGTGATGCAGTAACTTTGGGTGGCTTAGGTCACTCTTTCCATTAGATAAGTGTTTTAAGACCCTACACACAGGCCAGGCGCGGTGGCTCACGCCTGTAATCCCAGCACTTCGGGAGGCCGAGGCGGGCAGATCACGAGGTCAGGAGATCAAGACCATCCTGGCTAACACAGTGAAACCCCATCTCTACTAAAAATACAAAAAAAAAAAAAAAAAAAAAAAAAAAGCCGGGCGTGGTGGCAGGTGCCTGCAGTCCCAGCTACTCGAAAGGCTGAGACAGGAGAATGGCATGAACCCGGGAGGCGGAGGTTGCAGTGAGCCGAGATCACGCCACTGCACTCCAGCCTGGGCAATGGAGCGAGACTCTGTCTCAAAAAAAGAAAAAAAAAAAGACACTACATACAAAAACATTAACAACTTTTTGCTCCAGTTTGAAATCCAGTGTTCTGAGAGATGCCACACACAGCAAGGGCCTCTGATTTGTAGAATACTACCAGATGTAATTGTCTGGATTTGTAATCCAAATCTTCCTTCATAAAAGATACATAGGCACATAGGTCTGAAATGAGCAATCCTAACATAAGATTTAGAAATGTCCAGTAGCTATATAACTACAATTTTCAGAGTCATGGAATGATATATAGATATATATATGGGTTTCTCTGGTTCTGAAAGTACAGAATTTAGGGAAGAGAAAGGGAGAAATTTTTCATTCCCCTGATATTTAAGTCTATGAACAACAAAATTTCTGTCCAGTAGAAGGTACTTTATGAAATGTATAAGTTAGCCTAACATTTTGCTACCACTATTTAGCCCAATGGGTGGAAAGGTCAGTGTTGTCAACTGGAAGGGAAAACCATCTTGAGATTGGGTTGTGGAAAGACGTCAAGATCTGAGATAACATTGACCCTGGAGCAGTGAATTCCCAAATGTGTAAATAAGATGTATGAATAAGGAGGAATATCAGAATCGGAAGAGCACTTTCAAAGCACTGCTGTAATGCTAAAATGGAATGGTTGGAAGGAGAAGGTAGTGTCATCATTATGTCTTAATCAGGCCTACAAACTTGTCAGAATAAAATCAGATGAGTGAGGTGATCCATGACTCTGAAAACTGTGGTTATATAGCTATTGGACATTTCTAAACCTTGTGTTAGGATTGCTCATTTCAGACCTATGTGCATATATATATATGCACGCACACAGGCACAAAGTAGTATGGTTTGTGGAATTTCTCTGATCGATTATGCACATGAACAGCAGACACAATGGGAAGATTCAGGAAACTGGCTATTGATCACACATACCAGTCTAATCCAACCATGAAGTGGAGCATAACATGAGTGAAGATATGTCAGGGACTTTAGGAAGGCTGGCTCTTTAAAAATTGTTTCATGTTTCACATGTCATACGTCTTAACTTCATTTGGAAGCTCTGCTCACTATTAAATAAAAAAAGTCTCTGAAAAAGTTAATATGTGTAGGTTCAGAACATTTTGAGAGTTGAGGAAAAGCTAGTAATGGGGAAAGAATTATTTGGTTTCACAAATTTGTGAAGAAAGTTTACAGTAATTTTTAGGAATAATTATAATTTGCAATTATAGTTAAATAATTATATAATTACAACTTGGTTATAATTATAATTATAGTTTTATAGTCTTTATAAAATTATAATGTTTTCTGTTGATAAATCCTTGAGATTTAGTACTTACATTGCTTTTTGGTCTTCACTTCCAATGAAATATTTTTATGACATAGGAAAATTGTTAATATAGAAATGTATGCAATTTTAGATTATTTCACTGGATACTTAGGAACATACTTATTATTAATAAAGAAGAGTTCTTAGAAGTAAGCAACATTTCAATTGCCATATCATTAGGCAAAGTCACACAATTGCAAGTTACCTAAATCCAGAAAGTAATAATTGGAATCTAATGCAAAACTAGATCTCCACCAAAATAAATAAAGGCAAACAAGCAGCTTTTGGAGTGAATGATGGAAATATACCTCGATACTGCAGAACACCTTTTGTCTAGAGAGACTTGGTCCAGCAACGCAGTCTGGGACTTTGCAAGTATGTTGCAAAATACTTGTTAGACATTTGAACAGACTCCAAATCCCTCTTGGGATCAAATTCCTGTTGTCTCAGATTCCATTATTTTTTGTGGTATAAATTTGTTTCAAATCAACAAATAAAATATATGAATATATATATAAAATAAACAATTGTTATTCAAATTGGACACAGGCCCAGGTTCCAAAATTTAATTTTGTTAATACAAAGTGATAAAAGAAGCTGCTAATGGTTGTAGCCTGGTTTTATGGGACAAAGTTTATATGAGGAGAGCTGCTTTCTTTTTTTCTTACTTTTTCTGGGAGCAAGTGGTCTTTGTACTTGTTTGATATTAGTCATCCTAAATTTGGAAAACCTTGATTATTTTGCTTGGTTCTCAACTGAGAGTTTTTATTATTTTCATGTATTTGCGATCTTCTAAAAAAAAAAAAACAATAAAAAGAGAAGAGATGCCAGTATGACCTACACATACCCTGTAAGATAACCACATCAATCCACTTACCTGGACCAAGCAATATATTGTGTTGCCTCTTTGTCTTTGCATATCTTACTCCCTCTGATTAGGACAACCTTCCCTTGTTAACTTAGACATGGACTCCTTAGAAAATATGATGCAGTTATGGACTCTTTTCTCATTAAAAAGGAAAAAAAAACATACACAGAATTTTGCATAAAGTGCCCTGACTTAGACACAGTCCTCTACAAAGTTGTTCTGACATGTCCAGACATTGATAGTGTGTCCAGGTTTGTCATTGTATTTCAATATTTATTGGACCATCTTCAGTATGCTGCACTCCTAGGTGATGAGGGCTTTCCCTTATTCAGGTTTCATTTCCAGGACAGTTAGTAAATATTTGTTGAATTTGTTGAATGAATTGATTCCTTGAGGTTCAGCAACTTGAGGCTCAATTTGTCTTCAATTATAAATATTTAAGATCAAATTCAAAGACTTGGCACAGAGACGCATCTCAACAAATGTTGAATGAGGGCTACAACCTTTTAATTGCCTGAATGAATGTATGGTACATTATAGTGCAAAAAAAGTTTTTCGTTGTGTTAATTTCATAATTAAGCCAAGTTTTACACACACACACACATGTGTGCGCACACACACACACAATCTCTCTCTCACTCTCAATAGAATTGAACAATATAAGGAAGCCACTAAAACATCCAGTTGTGCATGTTTAATATGTTGATGCTCTGGAATTGTGATTAAGGCTCCTACTTAAGGACAAAGATGTCTTAATCATTCCCCCAATCTCCACCATTCTGAGGAGCATCATCAAGAATTTCATCCAGATAGTCTTAGGTTTGCTATAAAATTGCTGAATTGGCCTTGTTACCTCCTAGATATAATGCCAGCAGCAATCCTCACTCTAGGATAATCGAAGAACAGAAAGAGAAAAGAGAAGTTTACAAGTTCTATGTCTGCATAACAAATGGCTTAATGGCCAATATTAATGGCTTAAGAAAACATAAACATATTATCTCAGAGATTCCTTGGGTACAGTTCAGCTGAGTTCTCTGCTTAGTCTCACAATGCTGAAATCCAGGTTTCAGCAAGACCACATCGTCACTTGGAGGCTCAGCTAGGAAAAGATTTGCTTCTAAGCTTCCTCAGGAAGTTTGTCAAATTCATTTCCCTGAACTGGTAGCATTGAGGTCCCCCTTGTCTTGCTAGCTGTTGGCGTGGAATTGCTGTCAGCTTCTAGAGGTCATTCTCAGGTCTTGGCTACATGGTCCCTGCCATGCCCTCTTATACATCCAATCTTTCTGCCTTCATGAAGGGAGGGCCAGTTCCTTTTAAGTGCTAAACTGATTAGATTGGGCCCATATAGACATCTCCGTTTTGGTTAACTCAAAATCCAATAATTAATAATTGATTCAAAGAGTGATATATAATCAGATTCTCAAGTTCTGCCCACTCAAGGACAGAACTTTACACAGGGCATGTACACCGATGGGCAGGAATCTTGAGGGCTATCTGAGAATTCTATCACAAAGGATGTTATAAGACATGTTTATAGAGCTCTGCGAGTATAGTAAGAGGTCGCCTGAGATGAGGAGACATGAATCCCTTTCTTCACTGCAGTCCTGTCCTAGTGGCCCCAATGGACAAGAGCAGAGCATGGTAGGGGAGTTCCAGGGAAGGTTTGATGCCCATTCTTTGAAGTTTGTTGGTATATGTAAAACTCATTATTGGTGCCAGCACATTTTCTGCAAAGGAAGAAGACTTGAGGGAATATCTGGCAGCAGAGAGGCAATAACAGATGTTAGTTTGGTGTGCCTTAGGAGAGGATAGAGGGTCATCTCATTCCAGTTCTCAAAGCTCTCAGGGAGAGGGAAAGGGAGATGCCCCACTCTAAGGGAGGTTGGGACATGGACTACTTAAGAGACACTAAAGAGAGACAAAAATGCCCCTTTTTGAGGGAACCCAGTGGCTAAGATGGCTGACCGAAAACCTTCCCAAGAAAGCATGCACAGCATCTGTGTGGAGACATTTATATCAGAAGAGCAGACAGAATCAATCTGAGTCATATTGAGACCTTAGTTGCCTTCTCACCAGCAGCAGGTAATCTATTACCCCAAAAGATCTCTGCCTGCCCTGTATCTTCTCCCAATCCCCCAAATCAGGGGGAAGTGAGCTTTGAAATAGGGCAGGGAAGGAAGTAACCAGAATGAGACCATTCCTTCTCCCCACTCCAAGTATTTCAAGCCACAAGGCTGGACAACTGGGGAGAGAAAAGAGGTGAAGGGAGGAAAGGGAACAAATGAGAAAGCCAATATGAGATCGGAGTCTTAAACAAGCCTGAACTTTTAGTGAGAGGTGTGGCACATTTCCAAGAGGTGCTTCAGGAAGAGGGAAGTGACATTTGACAAAGCAACAGGAGAAAAATGAAAATATTTCATGTTTATAACCCATGTTGAACTACTCAATAAACCAATTTTACATATGTTTAAATTTCCCCCAGCTTCCAACTTTTGTATGCTCCAAGCAAATTTTCCCCCATGACTTTCAAATTTCCAGAAAACAAATTACATCCCTAAGTCACATATTAGAGTGAATTAGATCCAGATATATTTTGAGATCAAGTTTTGATAAGGAAGCATAGAAAGAAATCCGTGCACAGAATATATCAGCGGGATGGCAAAAAAGGAATGCCACTAAAATTGCTAATTAGGGAAACAAGCTGAAAGTATTTCTAGATGGAAAATAATACACAGTTTGAAGTGTTCACCTGCTATAGAGAGGACATTAAAACGAGTTCCTGATATTTGTTTCTGATTGCAGCTATGATCTCATGTTCTGCTCAGCATTTAAAAATAATGTGAAGATACATCATGTGAAAATACAAAGACATTTCACAAGAACTCAAAGAAGCCAAAAAACCATGACAACATAGCTGATTTTGTACATCCCCCTCTAAAATAAGTTGACTCACCCTGAGGTAAAAAAGTAGTTCCTATGATACTCAGTCATCTGAGTATAATTGTATTGAATGTAAGTTGCCTGCAAAACTTAATGATAAAAGAGAATTCTACTAATTGTTATTCTTGGATTACTGATCCAACTGACATTCATTCCATTTTGAATTCCCATAGTAAATATAAAACAGTAGGTATGTATGTGTGTGTATGTATATCTGTGTATGTGTGCATATTTGTAAATCCACATAGCACGTTAACCCTAGAATCTAACTTTAGAAAGGTTATGTTCAACTCTAGGCAAACAGTAATAAGATCAAATTAGGATCACAAGAAACTAATCTCTTAAAATTTAACAAAAAGTACTAGGTTTAACAGTAAATATCACATCCATGTGCTGGAGAAAAACACATGTTCCACAGAAGGAATAGTAGGCTATAAAGAACTAACTTAATTTGCTGGTTTAGCACGTGGATAGTCAGTACAATAAACAAAACATTTGAACACTAAAATAACTTTTTTTTTTTTTTTTTTTTTTGAGACGGAGTCTCGCTCTGTCGCCCAGGCTGGAGTGCAGTGGCGGGATCTCGGCTCACTGCAAGCTCCGCCTCCCGGGTTCACGCCATTCTCCTGCCTCAGCCTCCCAAGTAGCTGGGACTACAGGCGCCCGCCACTACGCCCGGCTAATTTTTTGTATTTTTAGTAGAGACGGGGTTTCACCGTTTTAGCCGGGATGGTCTCGATCTCCTGACCTCGTGATCCGCCCGCCTCGGCCTCCCAAAGTGCTGGGATTACAGGCGTGAGCCACCGCGCCCGGCCTAAAATAACTTTTAAGACATAGCACCATTAAAATCAAATGTTATTAAAGTTCTTAATTTTAAGACAATTTAATGTAAAATTTCGATCTTTTACAACAAATACTTTAAAGTATTTGAAGTTATTACTTTAGATATAATAACTACCTTGCTTGGAAGTCCAGTGTGCTACATATTTCATGTATGTGCAATCAATTATACACTGTGCTGACATAAAATAAGTACAGTAGACAGCAAGCCACTAAGGAACCATGAGCCCTTGACTACCCGTTGACAACACAGTGGAGGCCAAATGGCATGCATTATGCATGATTTTAAAATGTGATTAGCCATGTAAGATTCGTTCTCTTTTAAGTGCAGATGTATCTTTTTATAAAAGAAACTTAGCTATCTTAGGCTGTTGTTTAGGTTATGGACTTTTTCTATTTTTGATAGTTGAGAAATTGTTAAAAGCGTATGTCATATATATGCATATATATAAACATACATACATATATGTATAAATACTTGCTTGTGCAAAGAATTTTTTTTGAAGGTAAGAAACAGAAGTGGGATTAGAATAGTGTGACTAGGAACAGCGAGGGGGGGCTGTCTTAGTTTGGTTTTCCCCAAAAGCAGACCCTAAGTTAAGCACTGGGTGCAGGTATTCATGAGATGTAATGGCAGGAAGCACAAGTGTAGTAGTAAAGAAAGTGGGACAGGAAAGGGAATAAAGCCAAAGAGTGTGTTAATGAGCATGTTGCCACTGTGGGCAGACAGAGCTCAGTCTCACTGGAGACCTTTTCAGAAACTATGTGAAACACTTCAAACTTTACCCCCCAAAGGAGAGAAAAGGAAGGTTGGGCATTTATCCACGTGCCTCCAAACCCCACACTGGTTGAGAGTGGCCCCAGGATATTAACTTCTCCACACTTGCAATGCAGAGAAGAGAGACTGGGATGCTGGAGATGGGAAGCTGTCATCATGGCCCCAGAGATTTTTTGGGGTAGGGGAAGGCTGGGAAGAATGTATTTACATTTCTTTGAGTCACCCTGGCTCTGAGTTTCTGCTTCCACGGTTCTGTACTGCTTCACCCTCTGTAGGCCCTGCTCACCATCCCCAGCCAGTTATTCCCCACACACTTTCTGTGCAAGGAATTGTATGTAGCAGACTGTATGACAGGTTCGGGATAACAGCCTGGAGAACTGAAACAACTTAAAACTGATTATCTGCATCTCTGTTCTTAAAAGGCAGGTGGCAATTTTCCCCTCCCCACAGGGATTCTCGCTGGAATCTGTCGACCATAGTTTCCCACCATGTACTTTAGCCTTCTGTCTCTCCTCTAAAATCCCTTTCTTTACTGATTCACCATTCCCAGGGTTGAACATTCCTAAGATTTCTTGTGCAGAGTAGTTTGACTTCATGGCTTGCTGCCTCCTTCCGCTGTTCACAGGACTTCACCTTCTATACCAAGTGAGTTAACAATGTTATTTTCTTAACAAAAGCTGTTCTCACCCTAAGAGTAAATTTAGCTGTTACTGTTAACAAATTTTAAAATTATTTTTACCCTGCTACATATAGAAGGTTGTATGTAATAAACTATCTTAATGATGCAGTGGGTTCTGATAGCATAATTTATTAATTATATTGATTCAAGCTTGATTCATTTTGTTCTTATTTCCCTGCCATAGTCTGTGTTGGAATGTCTACCTCTTGCTTCAAAGTTCTGACCACTGATGTTTTTTAGGTTTCTTTTGTTTACTCAGGGAATCACTGTGTAATGCTTTGTGCTACAAATTCCCTGCCCACAGTATAACTGGTTGTTAACTTTTCTCCTCTTCCATGCCTTTGTGAAGGATTGGGTTTCTTATTGCAGAAAGGAGTTTCTCTGGCTGTAGTTTAAATTGAAACAGCCCTCATTCTCCTACTCACCAATTTGATCTTCCTTTCACCTTCTGGGTAATACTATGGCACTTGCTACGTAATGCCATTAAAAGCTCTCCAGGCCACAGAAGCTCTAAACATTACTGTTAATCACTTAACAACTGACATCATGTGCATTCCAACGGCACTGGTTGACTTCCTTTTATAATTATCAGAGGATACATGGGAAATGCTGAAGTTTGAGAAAGACTTGTATTTCAAGCTCCAAATCCTCTACCCCAAGCTGAGATGAGCAGTTAATTTTGGTAAGCCTTTGGGGAAATCAACAGCTCTGGAAGTTTTGATATTGACATTATCATTCCCTTACGATGAGGGAGTTTGACTAATGGCTTATCCAAGACTGGAAATTGGAGAAGAAAAACGTAAAGGCAAGATTCTCTCCAGTCGCCACTCTCATCCTCAATCCCCAGGCCAAGATGCAATGTTTACGCAATTATCTTCTTATGAGAAAGATAAAATCTGATGAAAATACAATTTTAAGCAAGTGCTAGGCCTGCCTTTTCTTCTTAACCTAATTTGTAATTGTTCACAATTATTTTCTAAAAGCTTCATGCAATTCAACATTCAATTTAAAAAGCAACATCTAATAAGCCATTAAGCCAGGTTATATGATTTTAAGACAGCACAAATTTACTTGCTGGGGATTAGGTATCTATGCAGAGAGGCTTGTTCATTCTCAGGCATCTCCCAAATTATAATTCTACCATTATTATTTTCCAAATATTTGGCATTCTGCAGACTGGCTGGGAGGTCTAGTTATTGCTCTTTGTGTCAACTCCTCAGTTTCTCTTATGGCCAAATGCAGATAAAACTCCCACGCAGTCTAACATCATTGCAGTGACTCATAACTAGCAATTCTTGTTTTAAAGCACTTACCAATTAGAAGGATTTTATACAAATTACAGTTTATTTTAGAAAAGAAATAAGCTAGCATATGGAAAATATTGGATACGATGGTAAAATATGTACCATACCACCTGCTTTGTCTAAAAATCTCTCAAATAAAGAAATGCAAATTTAAAGTGATTATTCCCTAAAACTAAACACATAAAAAGACTTGATTAGCTATTTGTCTATCTATTAGAAAGTAATCACCTCTTAATGCTTGCAAAAATAAACAAGAAAAACCTGCTTATACTATGTCACAGACATACAGGCTCAGAGAATAAGGAGAAACTACAAAGCAGGAGAAACAAATCCACTTTCCCTTTTCTCTTCCTCCCGCCCCGCCATGCCCACCCAGGGTGATTGGTTACAGCTGAAATGTATGGGCTGCTTATGCCAAGTCTATGGGCTCAACTGAAGGAGATGATGATGTTCATAATACTTCACATTTGTATAGCATATTATGCCTTCCAAAGGGCTTTCACGTAGACTGTTTCATTTAGAGAAAAGCTTTGCACAGATGTTTTGTGGACTTGCAAGCATTAAAATTGCTAATTCTGATTAAGTTTGTCGAATATTTCAAGTTCTGTTTCACTCTTATTTTATCCTAAATCTGGTTCACAAGGAGATTTTATTATGCTAATATAAAGTGACAGTCATTGTCCCATGATTGAAGCTCTTCCTCAAATGCAATCATAGAGAGTTTGAGTTAGAAAGAACTTTGGAGGAATTGTATCCTAACCATTTGATTTTGTAGATGTAATACCAAGGTTTAGAGAGACTTCATGATCTGCTCAGGGCCAGGCTTGGGTTTCTGCCTTGCAATGTGGAAGGTTTGCTGTTATCCCCTAAAGAGTGCCCTCCTGACTCTTGTCTATGTGGGGGAGAATAAAAACTTCAGGGAGAAAATGATGAAGCAAACCAAGCTCTAAACAGCATAGTGTTTTTGAAACGTTTATTTGTTTTTACCCTTCCAGTGTTTTAGAAATTTTTTTTCTGAAGGAGATTCATTGAATATTTAAAGTAGATACACTCCTTTTATTTTTGTCCAAAATTACCAAATGTCTTTTTCATTTTTTTCATTAAACCAAAGATCTTTAGATTCCTAATCAAATGCTATTTTCACTTTTTTCTCATTAAATTCTTATAAAAAATGTTTTGTTTTTTGTTTTAAAGCAAAGCAAGCATTTAGCCACATTTTAGAGTAAAGAAATCTCATACTCAAAGAAGATACATGAACTGTATAAGGTCACATAGCTGATTAGTGAAATTCATAAGAATAGAAACCACTTTGTATGATTTTAAGTACAGTTTTTGTTTTGTGTTTTGTTTTTTACAACTCATTACTCCTGGCCCTGAAATAGAGTTGAAGATCATCAGATTTTCCTCAAGTTATATTTTTGACATCTTCCTAAATGGCTTGTATAAGGTAATCAATATATGCATTAAATTTGATTCAAACTGAAGTTTGTAATACACATACTTATTTGTAAAAATGCCTGACTGTAACATTATGAGTTTATTTTTAATATTATTCCTTATTTCTAGAATTTCTAAAGTGAGGTTGGGTGCAAGAATTTTGTATAACATGAATGTATTAAATTCTAAACCAAAGATTTTACGTTTATATTAGATATGGAGTCACAAGGTTGTAAAAGACCCTAACTGGAAAGCGAGTTTCTAGCATTTAGTATGTGTGTATCATATGCCATATCTTATTTCCTCAGTGTAAATAACCATAGCAAACCTGAGCGTTCCCTAATCTTATCTCCTTTTTTAACAATAAGGAAACTGAGGCTCAGAAAACTGAAATAACTTGCCCAGAGTCCCATCTCTACATGATTCTGAAGTTCATGCTCTCTTGGGAGTATTTCTGATCTTTCTCAAAAAGCATACCTGAACTACAAAGAAGCACATCTCAATACATATAGAGAACTATTTCACTCAATTCTGAGAAAAAAAAACACTTGCTTTTGGCTGGATAGACCTGTAAAGATGTCTCTTTAGTTACATTCCTACTCATTTTGTGCCAACAAAATACAACATATTCCAGAATACATGGCTAATATTACATAGTGGTCTCTTTCAGACTAATAGGATTCATCTTATTTTTAATTGAGTTATAAAAAGCATCCTTTTCCTAATGGTTAATTTGTCTTTATTAAATTATATTATTAAGTATGAGTTAATAAGAACAAATTAACCATTATTATATAAGCATATATGCTTATGTATTAGCATATTTATTAATAAGTTAATTTCTTAAAGAAATAAAACTTGCATTTTGTGCTGAGTTTATTGTCATTTACATCATGACATAGAAGTTCACTGCTCAAAAAAATCAGTGAAGATTATGACAAATAGCTGAAGATATACATTATCAGACACAATTATATTTGTTATGCATCTCTAAGTTTAACCTCTGAAGGTTAGCACTGTTATTGCCTGTATGTGCTTTCATAAACATATAATGTACATTATTTTCTTTTAAAAATGTGTGTAAACATTTTGGCACATGTATAATACAGCATATGCACAGAAAAATACATTTAAATGTACAGAATACTTGATTATTATGAAGTGAGCTTTAGTACAATGACTAAATGAGATTAGACATAAATACTGACAGCATCCCTGAAGCCCCATCCCTATGTATTCATTGCCTATTCTTTTGAGGATTTCTTCTTTCACTTGATATTATATTGGTTAATTCCACCTCTGTTATTATATATTGCTCCAATTTCACATTTTTATTGCTTTATTTTATTCATTTGTTTGAAATCTTACCATGTTTATTTATCCACTCCACTGTTGATGGCTATTTGGATTATTTCTAGTTTGTTGCTATTACAAGTCAATGCTGTATAAATATTCTTGTACATTCTTCTGACACACATATAATTACATTTCTCTAGAGTATATGCCCAGGAGTAGAATTTCTGGGCTGTGGGATATGTGTATGTTTCAATTTAATAGGTGATGTTCCCAGTTTTTTAAAAACAGTTTTATCAATTTATATATCTGCCAATCATAAATGATAATTCCTTTTACTCCATAGTTTTTAAAATGCTTGGTACTTGTTATTCTCTCAGACTTTTAAATGTTTTTTCAGTCTGGGGAATATGTGCAGTAGTTGGTATCTTCTTTTAGTTTCAACTTACTGTTTTCCAGAAAGTTATTAAAGTTTGACATTTTGTCATATGTTTGTTGGTCATTAGGATTTTTCTATTTGGTGTTATGCCTGTTCATGTTTTTCCTCCATTATAATGTTTAATCTTATTTTTCTTATTGATTTTCAGAAGTTCTCTATTCAGTGTATAAATCCCTTATCAGTTGTATATTTTGAAAACGGTACCTCCCCTTCTGTGGCTTTTAAAAATTCTCCTTTTGTGTCTTTTGAAAAATATAATGTAGCTGAACTCTTTTAATGAGACCAACATGCCCTAAATACCAACCTTTACAAGAGCATTACAAAAAAAACAAACTATGAGCCAATTTCTCTCAAGCACACAGATGCCAAAATTCTAAACAAAATACTAGCAAATAAAATTCTGTGATACATATATGAAAATCTACATGAATTTATGTTTGTATATGTGTATACACACATACATACATATATCAGACCATGTTAAGATGTTTTTCCCCAGAGACAAGGGTAGTTTAGCATTTTTAAAAGATAAATTAATGTAATTCACCACATTAACAGAGGAAAGAAAAAAAGTCATAGTCACCTTGATGCAAAAAATTAATTTGGCATAATTCAACACTCATTGAACCGACAAGAAATAGAGGAAACATTATTAATTTCACAACAGAAATCTACAAAATAACATGAGCAGACATTATAATTAGTAGCAAAATACTAAAAGGTTTCCTCATGAAAAAAAAACAGAATGCCTACTATGATAATTTCTATTCAACAACGTAAAGGAAGTCCTTGTCAATTCAGTAAGGAATATAAAAATAAATAAAATGAATAAAAATTAGAGAAAGAAATACAACTGCTGTTATTCATGGATGAAATGTTGGTATACATAGAAAATACAAAAATAACTAAAGACAAATTATCAGAATTAATATATGAATACAAAGTCCATATATAAAATCAATTAAATTTTCACATACTAGCAACAAATGGAAAACACAATTTTTTAAAAAGTGAAATTATTATAATAGTATGAAACAAAAAATATCAAGAAATTAATTTAACTTGTCTAGATTCTAAGCTTAAAACTATAAAATATTATTGAGATTTACTAAAGACTCAAGGTATTAGATCTTTATGTAAGTTTATGCTCAAAACCAAGCCATTTTTTCAATTTTTATTTCTTTTAAGTGAAACTCAACTATATGCAAGATGTTGTAGGCAACATGAAGAGGAATAAAGCTTAGTTTTTTTTGGCCCAGAGGGAGATCAAACTACACTTAAATGCTAAATTAGAAAACATTATAATTATAGTAACACAAATAAAGTTCTGTAAAGTATTCAGAAGATAATGTTAATTCCTGCTGGTAGGATCAAGGAAGGTTTTACTGATGAAATATAAAATATCCTGACTTTTTTTTCTTGTAGTTAAATTGTAAATCTCTTCCAGCTAGAAGCCTTTTGTTTCTTCTCTTGAATGAGATGATGAATGTCTAGCAGCTATTTCAGTGCCTGACACAACACAGATATTTAAAAAAATGCCTCTCTATCCTCTGGTCGGAACCAAAATTAGTTATGGCTGTAGTAGGGAGACTTTCAACCTGCTGAAAACTTCTATGATATAATAAAAAACCATCTACTCTTCAAGCCAATTTAATATAGTTTTTCTTTACCTGGAACATCTCTTCCCCTTCATTCCCGTCTCACCTTCTATACATACCCGTGTGTAACAAGAATCCTCATCTTCCAGTTGGGAAATAACTAATATTTGTTGAAAGCCTGTATGCACCAGGATCAGTTCTAAATGTTTTACATATATTATCTCAGTATTTGTTAAATGTGGTGGAATCAAATTCTCTCATATATGCTCACCTCAAAATGTGCTTCTACTAGAGTGGATAGCATGGCACAAAACTGAGATCAATAATTTAGGCTCTGGAATCAAACTGCCTGAGTTCAAATCTCATCTCTAACACATACTAGACATGTGTCTGTGAACAAATGAACTTACTGTTTTTTTTGTTTGTTTGTTTGCATTTCAGTTTTCTCATTTGTAAGGTGGATATGATAATGGCATTATTGTGGACTGTGGTGGATTGTATTTTCCTAAAATGCTTAGAATAATATCCCCCATCCTTCATGTTCTTCTTACAGTGTGATTTTGCTACTCCCTCTCCAAGAAGTGGAATATATACTCTTTCTCCTTGACCCTGGGAAGAACTCTGACTGTCTCACCAATAAGGAATGACAGAAGTGGAGGTAGGTGACTTCCAAGCCTAGCTCATAAGACTGTGCAGCTCCTGCCTGGCTTTCTTTTAAGATGCTCACTCTTGGAACCCAGCCACCATAAAGAATCCTAGACGTATAGGTCAGCAGACAGCTCCAAACGAAGTCCCAGACAATAGCCACTATTAAGTGTCAGCCATATAAGTTGGGGAGCCTTTGAGATGACCACAGCCCAGGCACTGTCTACTCCAACTGCATAAGAAACCCTGGGTAATAACTGCCTAGCTAAGCCAAGTCAACCCCTCAAACCATGAGACATAATAGTAAAGCAATTGCTGTTGTTCTAAGCCACTAAATTTTGAAATAACTTATCAGGAACCATAGATAATTGATACAGATCAGCTGAAATTTTTGTCTAGAACAGCTAGAAGTGGCTTCTTTATGCAGCCTGGACTTCCTCACAGCATGGTGGCTGGATTTTAAGAGAACATGTTCTAACAGTTCCAGGTGAAAGCTGCACTATCCCTATGATCTAGTCTTGGAAGTTGCATTGTGTCACTTTCACTGTAGTCACAGATTCACTCAGATTTAAGGAAAGGGAACACGGATCCTGCCTCTCAGTGGGATGGAGATGGGTGTAAACATCATGTTATAAGAGCATGTAGGATGAGAAATTTTGTTATAGCTGTCCTGAAAAATACAATCTTTACGTGGAACATAAATAAATTGATCTACAGCCGCTTTTAGAATAATGTCTGGCAGCATTTAATATATGCTAGTTATTATTCTTATTGTTCCAAAAGTATAATGTAGGACTAATGGTGTAAAAAAGAAAAGCAATTGGGGAATAAGGAAGTCAACGAGTAATTGAAACAAGAATAAATGTGGATTGTCCCAGGCATCCTAGGATACAATTTCCCTATGTTTGGCCTTATTCCATGTCTTGATCCCCTTTCATCCTCCATAGGAGTATCATTGTTATAAAATTCATTGCTATGAAGTTCATGTGCATCCATCTAGAATGTTTCTTTGTATTTACATTTGTGAAATTATACAGTTTTGTTTTTCATTGTATTTTTCCCAAAATATCATATTGTAGTATACTCATTTGTGATCTGCTTTTCATTGTTTTGATTTTTGTCCTTTTTGTTTTTACCTAACCATGACTTAAGAGATTTGTCATGCTAGTATACGAAAAAAATCTACTTCATTCTTTAGTTCCCATCCTTACAATAATGGCTATTCGATTTGATTTCAATTTTTATTCTACAAACAAATCTAAGGTTCACACATTTCCAATTTTAACAGAGCTTGCCAAGTTGTCCACCAAGATGGCTGTGCCAATTCGCACTGTCCTTTGCTGTGCAAAGAGCACATATTGCCCTAATTCCTTGTTGACAGTTGATATTATTAAACTTTTGCATTGGCCTCTCTGTGAGATTAAAATATGGTAAATCATTTTAATTGTAACTTTTCTAACTGTTAGTAAAGTAGGACATAGTTTTATGTTTACTAGTCAGTTATGTACTTGTTTGTATCCCTTGCCCATTTTTCTGCTGTGTTGTTTGTCTTTAGTTTATTGACTTTGAAGGGTATATAGGTATAAAATACATCATATTTTACTGAATAATAATTGATTATCTGTATACATGTTGACATGCTCCGAAGGTAATGATTATTTTTTCACTTAACTTTAAAATTCAATTTAGACAAATATGTCATTCTTCTTTTTATGGGATTTGTTTTTTGTGTTTTGCTAAGTAAAGCCTTCCTTACCTGTAAAACCATAATACACTGCACTGTATTCATTATTAAGAATGAATATTTTTATTTAATTCAGCCAAAATTTATTTCATTTTATGATTTGAAGTAGAACTCCACTTCTACATCCTTTCATTTTCCCAAAACATTGATTCAGCTTATCATCTTTTCCCACTCATTTGAAATGCTGGCCTTGGATGTACATTAAATTACCACACACACCTAAGTAAAGTTAACAACTTTCCATATATCCAAAATGGAAAGTTCAGAACTCAACTCAGATATATAGATTAATTCATGTTGTCTTGTACCATGCTGCTTTGTTATTACTTTAATTACATCTCTATACTTTGTTTTGGTGTCTAGTTGAATGTATCACTTTGTTGCTTTCTTCAATTTCAAGATTATCCTGGTTATTCTTTTTTGTTGTTGTTTTGTTTTTATGTTTGTTTGTTTTTGTTTTTTTTGAGACAGACTCTCGCTCTGTCACCCAGGCTGGAGTGCAGTGGTGTGATCTGGGCTCACGGCAAGCTCCGCCTCCCGGGTTCACGCCATTCTCCTGCCTCAGTTTATTCTTAAGTATTTGCTCCTCCATATGAACTTTAAAATCAAATTATCAAGTTTCATGAAATACCTTGGGGGACCTTGATTGGGATTTCATTTATTTTATGAAATTTGAGTTATTAAGATACAACATTGAGCATTCCTATTGATTAAATACATTTTATGTTCCACTTGTTTCTCTTTTAAGGCCTTCAAAAAGCTTTATAGATTATGCCATAACTTGTTACTTATTTATAACTTGAAAAAGATTTACTGCTTTTTGAAAATGAGATATTTTAAAAGTATAATACATATCTAATCTGTTTTTGTTTGTGTAATAGAAAGCTATTAATTTTTGTATGCTAATATTCTGCCTGGCCCACCTTGCTGACTCTTGTATTAGTTCACATACTTCCAAGTAAATGTCTTTATCTGTTCTTTTTCAATCTATATATATATATAGTTATTTTTATTCCAATCCATATACAATTTATTTATTGCTTTGGATATTTCCACCTACAGAGTGTCGAATTTTAGTTTTATTCATTTCTAGTCATCTAAATTTTCTACAATAAGCCATTATTCCTCTTACAGTCAGAAAAAAAAATCGGTGTCATTTTAAAAGAATAATACCTTCTTTAAAATATTAAAATGCTTTTTAATGTCTTTTCATCTTTCTTAAGTATCCCAAACTTTTAAAAAATGTGTCTTGGAGAAGATAATTAAATATTGAACTTAGAAAATATAAGTCAGTGTTTTCTACTAATTTAAATGATCATTGTCATATTTTAGTTCTTTTATTAATTCTTTGTAAAAATATTAAACCTTAATATTTGTTCTGAGTCTATTTGAAGTTACTTTGTAAAGTTTTATTTTCCCCATATTTACTTTTGATTTTGAATACTATCGACTTATAGCTCCATCTAGATTCTGAAGATGTTCATGATACTGCTCCTTCCTGAGATTTAACTAGTCAAGCTAACTTGTCTTGAAACTTATCAGCAGCATTGAAGAACCATTATATTTGCTTGAAGTTTGGTCTTATTTATTTGCCTTTGCATTACTCTACCTAATTGCTCCCTTGTGTGTTTCATTTCAACCATTAAGTTCAGTGATTTACTTTAGCAAATTGTTTATGGAGAGTTATCAATTTCTTTCCCCAAATTTCCACATTTACTCTGGTTTATTTTCTTGTCATTGTGTATGAATGTATATGGGTGTGTGTCTGTCTGCCTGTATATGATATACATAAATGTATATGTAAACACAGTTTAACTTATACACACACATACATTACTGTATATCAATTTTTCTCAAATGGGCTCTCATGACTTGTCAGAGAACATCTGGAATCATTTACTGTAACAATGTTTCCAAATACGTTGTGATATGTATTTTAAGTGCAGAACTAATATTTCACCTTTAATTAAAAAGAATATGCTCAAAATATTACAATAACACAATAATGTCTATGGATATTTCAGTAGGTACAAGCTATTGCTGACAATCCTTGCCTCCTTCATTACTGGTGACATGTTATTCTCTGACATAAGGTCATTTGATAGTTGTGTCTATGAGAATGAGGTTCATGGATATAGTTTTCTTGTAGTGAGTATTGTCCCTGTTGTATGATTTGGGGCATGTATAGAAGGAAAGGAAATAAAATGTGACTAGACCATTAACGTGTAAGAATTCTCTGTCCTTCTCTTTTTGGGTGTTGTCTGTATCATCCTATGCAGTGGTGGGATATTTGCTCTCTCTAAAGTAGTTGAATCTACAAAGTCCAACCCCAATAAAATAATTATTTCCTATGGGTAATCATGACTGATTTTGAGAGCTGCTTTCAGCTAGAAGTGCTATTTTGGCTTAGGCCAGACAAAATGACATCTTTCCAAATAATACCCTTGAAAATAAAAATCTGCAAAATAGCTAAAAGAGAATTGTAACGTTCCCAGCACAAAGAAAAGATAAATGCTTGAGGTGGTAGATATCCCAATGACGCTGACTTGATCATCACACATTGGATATACGTATCAAAGTATCACATGTACCCCCAAATATGTGCAACTATGATATGCCAATAAAAATACAAAAAAAAATTAATTTTAAAAAGAAAATAAAAATCCATATGAAATAAACTGAAACTATTAACAAATGTTAGTAGCAATTAAGAGCCATTGCAGTTTGTTTTCCCTGAAAAATAGCTTCTGTTTTTAACTAATTCAGTTCAGCTAAGCAATTATAACCTAAGTGGATTATTACCATTGGGGAAAAATGTACTTCAAATATCTGGGGACTATTTCAAATCACTTTCTCTCATTTAGTACATATTTAACTATTTTTATACATGTAATGATCATTCATGGGAGTACATTTCTGTAGTGTCTTTTAGAAAAGATTAATTCTCAAAAGTGGGAAAATTTTTTATCAGTAAAAAATTCACCAGACTTAAATTGATTTTTTCTCAATCTCTCTCAGCACAGAGACATTAATAAAGTTGGCTCAATGAAGTGGGTTGGATATTTTGATTACTAACTCAAACTCTCACGACAGTAAACAACATAGGTTGTTCCATGTTGAATAGAAGATTATAAGTACAATTTTCAACAAAGTTTGTGTGCTACTTCTAAATATAGAATTGCAGGCATTGATTTTTATTTAGATGATTAACACAGATTAAGAACTGAAAGCATGTTATTGCAATCTCTGGGACTAACTGGGGCAGAAAGTTGTTATTGATCAAATACCACATGAATGTATTGAAAGAATATGTCCATTTTAAGATTGTGGCCAATTAAATATAATGAAATAGCAAACTGAAAGTAAAAAATTGAGTCAATCAAAGGATTTGAGTTCACTGCCCACTGAATTGCCTGGTTGGTGTGGTGTCATATAAACAGAGTGTTAGTTTATTCCTTTGTGCTGATGGGGTTGACATAAGTAAAACTTAATTTCAAAATGTAAGAAAGACTACAAGTTTCTTTGACAGGTATTGGAAGTTTTTCAGCTCCTCATCTCTTTCTGGGCTGTTGAATCAGTTACTCTTTGTGGTTTTGACTCACTGACAGTTGGAAGAAATTTGAGAAGAAATTCTTCAGGCTGTCATTTCTTCTCCATTAGAGCTAATCTTTGCTGCATTGTTGGCAATATCACTTGGCTTAAGACTATGGTGACGCTAAAAATGAATTTCATTTATTCCCAGACTGCATAACACTATTGCATTGATAGGGTTGTTGGGAAAACTATGCAGGTTCTATTGGAGTTAGAGTTGTGCTGTTTAAATAGAAATGTTTTCTGATTTTTTTTTAAATGATGAAAAAACTTTAGAGGCTTTTGGGGAATTGAATTTTAGTCAAAGAACCTGACCCAAAATATTTTGCTATTGTAAAAAAGAAAGGAGATTTTTCTTTGCCCTTAAAAATCACATTTTCCTGTGTGTTCCATAGTCTGCTTTATTGCCAAGAACTTTTCACAGTTTGATCATTAAAAATGTAGTACAACAAATGCATCCAACACACTGGCCCAAGCAATGTCTTGGATGCCGTAGTGTTTCCTTCTTGTTAAGAAAGAAGAGTTAAAGTAACTTGTGAAAGGTGGAAATGGCTTGGCCATTCATTGTTATTAGGAGATATTCAGTTGGCTGATGGGTTCATGAGCACAACATGCTGTGTTAAGTTTCTGGAAAGTGCATTCACGGAGCAGCACTGATCAGTGAGTACTCAGAGGTCGACTGGGTGTACACTTAACTCTTAGTCTCAGTTAATCTCACTTGGACTGGGTCTTCTATTTAACACCAACCCAACTCATGTTAATTTTGTGGCTGACAAACGAACAATGAAAAATAAAATGGCTTCATTACCTCTGAATTTATGGATTCTTTGCTCTATATATAGTTCTAGATTCTTTAACTGAAAGGGTCATGAAAATCTAATTTACTCATGTAGTGTTGAATAAACAAACATGGAGGTTGTGACTTGCTCAAGGTCACGCAACTGGAAGCAGAACAAGGACAATTCCAACATAAAGGGCTTTTCATCATCAGAGAGTGGGGCCAAAAAGTGAGGTCTCTTTCCAAAGTAAGCCCTTTTTCTTTTCTGACAGTGGTCTGATATGTCAAGAAGAGAGCATGTTTGGTTATCAACCCTGAATCATCCGTATATGTTTGTTTTGAAAACGGTCACACCATGTGTTAGATCACTCATCTGCCCACATGATCACACTAAAATTCATTGGGAGCTTAGAACAGGTAAGACGTTTACTGGAAAGAAAAGTCATCTTCTTCTACTTGGCTCTTAAATAAATCCGTTTATCTGTAGCACTGCATTTCATATCTGCCCATATTTTCTCTTTATGTTAGCGGAAACTAAAGCTAAACAAGATTTGAAAGCTTTAAAATACATCAGCTAAACTGATAAGACTAATGACTGACCTAAGTAGCTAAATGACATGGTTAAATGGTCATGATATATAAGCCATGAATATCAAATGCCCGGCACCATCCTTTTTTTGGAGTGGTTCAGATCCAAAGAAGGAATCATGGAAAGGACATAGGAATGAAAAGACTGAACATGGACAGGAGAGTGTTTAAACAAAAAATATTTTTTCCCATTTAAATGAATATGTATTTGTTGATTTTTTTAAAAAAGTTAATTTTATTTTCCTTTTAAGTTCTGGGATGTATGTGCAGGATGTACAGGTTTCTTACATAGGTAAATGTGTACCATGATGATTTTCTGCACCTGTCAACCCATCACTCAGGTATTAAGCCGTGCGTGCATTAGCTATTTATCCTGATGCTCTCCCTCCCACTCCTCCCTGACAGGTCCCAGTGTGTGTTTTTCGCCTCCCTGTGTCCATTTGTTCTCATTGTTCAGCTCCCATTACTAGTTATATGCCCAAATGAATATAAATCATTCCATAATAAAGATACATGCACGTGTATATTATAGCACTATTCACAATAGCAAAGACATGGAACCCAAATGCCCATCAATAATAGACTGGATAAAGAAAATGTATATATACACCAAGGAATACTATGCAGTCATAAAAAGGAATGAGATCATGTCCTTTGCAGTGATATGGATGGAGCTGGATGCCATTATCCTCAGCAATGAACACAGGAACAGAAAACCAAACACTTCATGTTCTCAGTTATAACCAAAAAGAATTTTTATTCTCTACCCTGGAATGCAAAATGATATGGGCAAGGGCAGATAGCTTCAAAGAAAGAATCAAGTGTTTAGAGATCTGCATTTTGTACTTGGCTGGAACTCGAAGATTGGATATCAGGGGAACCTGCCTAGAAGAAGGGCTTGAGGGAATTTTCATCATCCTGTTTGGGGAGGTTGCCCAACCCTGTGTGCAAATCCCTCCCTACAGGCAGTCTTAAGGCCAGAAGGAAGTTAGCCTCATTCCAAATGCAGCAAGAAAAGACAAAAGAAAACACCTGATACTGAAAACAATTTTAGAAACCAAGAGAGGGAGACAAAAATGGAGAGGGAAATGGATATCAGTATCAACTGTGGAACTTAACATCAAAAATTGAAGCCCCAAATTGGATGACCTTGACTCTTGAAACTCTATCTGTGACCTCAGTTCGAGACTTGTTTATAAAAATAGAATGTGTCCTTTTAAAAAACGGAGGGACTCATATCTAGAAATCTTCTTTCTGTCTCCAGAGATCTTCCATGATTAGATATTCTGGACTAAAGAAAGCTACAGAGTTATTACCTGTGAGTTTAAAAATATAATCCCTTTATCAAAATAGTCAGAAACTATTACCCAAACTCGGCTTTTTAATATTATGACAGGTCAAAAAAAGTTCTTTGTAAAATCTGCTGCATTAAATTTGCTAAATTGTTCAGGCATGTAGTCAATAACAAAGCAAATGGGAAAAAAGAGACATTCATTACAAGAGACTATTAGTTCTTCCTTGATTTAAGGAAAATGAGTTTGACTAACCAACTCCAGCTTGCCATGTTCTTTATTTAAAAGGCTACCATGTAACAGAAAACTGACTTGGCATACTGATCAAGCTGGTGTTCTGGGTTCAATCATTTTGTGGGTCAGTTAGCTGTGTTGTACTTTAAATTCTGGTTGAGCATTTCCCCTATGTATACTTTGGTTGGAGACAGAAAGTAGAATAATATGTAAAAGAATCAAAGCCATCCCTACTACTGGAAAAGCAAATAGATGCCCTCAAAATGTACATCATACATTGGTTGATGGTTTGTTGGCAGCATTGTCTTTCTGCAGAAAGATTAGCAAAA
Organism: Homo sapiens; assembly: GCF_000001405.40. Taxonomy (NCBI): domain Eukaryota; kingdom Metazoa; phylum Chordata; class Mammalia; order Primates; family Hominidae; genus Homo; species Homo sapiens. The sequence continues at coordinate 70,968,440 of NC_000012.12, read as the reverse complement.
ATAAAATGACCTATCAAAACATTAAAATAAAATTTTATTTAGATTTTTTAAAAAATAGAACATAAATCTAGATTATATATACCATAGCTTGTGGAAGCACCCACAGGAAGATATATTAGATTCGGTGCAACATTTTTTTTTTTTTAGATGGAGTCTCACTCTGTCACCTAGATTGGAGTACAGAGCAGCCATTTTGGCTCACTGCAAGCTCTGCCTCCCAGGTTCAAGCGATTCTCCTGCCTCAGCCTGTAGCTGGGACTACAGGCATCCACCACCACACCGGGCTAATTTTTGTATTTTTATTAATGGTGGGGTTTCATCATGTTGCCCAGGCTGACTCCTGACCTCAAGTGATCCACCCGCCACAGCCTCCCAAAGTGCTGGGATTACAGGCGTGAGCCACCATGTCAGGTGGCAACACATTTTTAATGTTGCCACATGAGCAACAGGAGATAATGTTTATAGCTTCTTTATTGTTGGTGGAGCCTATAAGTTGGCTTTAATCAAGCAGTGGCTTTCCCCCAAAATTTTTTTTATTATTCTATGACTTCTTAAATGCATGCATATACACTTTAAATGTAAATTCAAAATAGGTTCTTGGATGAAAAATTTTATACATTTTTGTGTAATTGTGTAAGTAACAGTTGCCTAAAGATAGAATGTAAAACTTCTTACAAGTGGAACAGACATCCAGGTAGAGATTTACCTCTAGAGCTGCAGCTAACTACTGCACTTGCTTCCCTAAGGGATTACTAAGCATATTAGGTTACTAGTCTATGAAGCATTTGCCCGGAATGGTCAACGTATATGGAAACTCTTAGGTCTGTGTTGAAATATGTATGAAATTACAGCACTTTGAAAATGTTGTGATTGATCCACAGTTCAATGGGCCATGAGGGAGAGTCACATTCAGAATGATTAATGTAAGACAGAGCAAAACTCAGGAAGTGCCAGGAAGGAGAGAAACTACTTGATCCTCCAGGGCAGCCATTTTCTCTGGTTCTCCTATAAAACTGAGTAAAGCAAATTAAATCCCCTCAGCTTCCCAAAGCTGGGATCTAACGAGTGACACAGCGTTCTATCCAGCTATGCTGCTGTGCACATCTTTGTATAATTTCTGACTTAAGCTAATGCCAATATCCAGAAGAAGGCCTGGATCCATTTCCAGGGGCAGGTGGTAAGGGGAGGGAGAGACGCTTCAAACCCGAAATACTAACCCCTGAACATTTGCAGATGGACTTTGGCATAAGGTTTATTGAGAAAGGAAAGGCAGCCTTCATTATCGACAGCATGTACTATTTGCAGGTCATTGGCTGAATGCTGCTGAACTATTGACTGAATAACTGAATGCCAAATCAAGTTTTGTTGCTATAACAACCAAACTAACTGGCCCATAAATGGTTGATTCTGGTTAGTAATTCAATCCGTTATCCAAAGTATGATTGTTTCGACTGTCTCAACAACCAGTTCCTCCAGGAGACTGTGGAATTGGTGCCTCGGGTCTCAGAATGTTCAGCAAGGACATATCAAGGCCCTCAGTTTCTTTTTTGAGGGTGAGATGGCGCAAAAGCAAAACAATGGATGGATTTGCTTTTTATTTCTGATCTCCAATTGCCGCATTTGGCATTTTGGGGACAATTCAAAAGTAGAATGAATACTTTTTGTTAGTTTTAAAACAAGTAAAAAAAAAAAAAACGATGACTAAGGAACTTCATCTGCTTCCCTTACACTTGAAAAGGTTGCATTTATTTCCAAATGTCAGAGCTACTAGAAGAAACATAAAAAGTGAGCATGGAAGTGACAATGCTTAAACCTGCTAGTGATCAGAGAAATACAAATTAAAATGATAATAAGGAGAATGTGAGACTGGACCAGAAGACCAACAAACTACCACAGCTGCCAAGCGAGTGTATTTGTAAATCTATAGAGACGTTTTGAAAAACTATTTGGAAATAAATTTTAATAACCAGAAAAATATTACTTGTATCTCTGAAAAATTTTTATTCTAAGGAAACAGTTCACCAGAAGAAAAAGGTTTTTATATATTTGCACAAAACTTTATGGTTGTGTGGTTAGTCCATGCTTTTAAAATGGGGAAGTGTCTGAAATGTTCAAACTTAGGGAAACAAATAACATCACAGTGCTTAATAGAAGATTACTAAACAGCCGGGAAAAGTCACGGATATGGAGACTATGGGGCAATGTGAAAAATGTTAAGTGAAAAAAGCACACAACATCTCTATACACTCTATGATTACAACATGTAGTACTTGTTTATATATGGGCAAGCAATGGAGTGGAACAGAAAGAACAAAACCAGTTGTGTTTGAGTGGAGAAAATTTGAGGCAATACAGATTGAGTCATAAATGTATATGTGAACAAGTGTATCTCTTTTAAAATTGCTAGATATGTTATTATAATATAGTTATAAATGAACCAAAAATGTTCTAAATTCCTAAGCATTTTGAATTTGAAACATGGGGAATAGTGAGAAACAAAGACCTAAAAATATTTTTTAAAGCTATATTTTCACTTTTTCAATACAATTGCTCTTATTTAATTCTGTTGCCTTTTTTGAAATTACAAAAGCAGTGTCATTATAAGCACAAAAATACACACAAAAAAAAAACAGAAAATATACACAAAAAAAGCAAAAAGAACAATCATTAATTCACCTTCCACACTCTTTCTTACTTTATTCCAATCTTCCTTTTTTTTCTTTATAAAAATGAGATCCTACCATGATCTAATTTGGTGACTTTATGTGAAGTAATGTGAATTTTTAAAGCAAACTTCTATCATTAAATAGATTACTTCCTTTTTCTATAACCTATTGTCAGCTAGTAGAAGCTACCATTTTTTGATTTGGGCAATGTGCCAGTTGCTGTGCTATTAGTTGTGGGGCAAATACCAAGTAGCTGACAAGAGAGACATCTTAGTCCCACTTTTACAGAAATGAGAAAGCTGAGACCCAGGGAAGCAATTTACTCAAAATTACATAACTAGTATTTGGCGAGTGACAGGGATTGGAATCTAAAGTAGTTCTCTCTGACAGGAGAAAACGTGCTTTTCAACACTGAAGTGTCTATAGTAAACAGTGCTGCACTTACAGCAGAGCCACCGCAGACCCAAGGAAAGGATCAAGCCTCAGCCCTCCTTCTCCCAATCCCCTGCCCCATGTTTTGTAAATCCCTGTCTAGTGACTGGGATTGGCCAAGCAAGCAGTGCCCCAGGGCGAGGACACCAGCCTAGACCTAATCTCCTTTTTACCCCAGTTTGGTGTCCTCTCCTACACTCTACCAGAGGAGTTTCAAGCAGATGGCCTGAGGGGCTCCTGTATTCACAGTTTGAGGTTATCTCTTGGATAGGCCCTGGTTGTAGAAGAGTGACTGACTCTAGTGTCCTCCTGCTGGCCAGAGCAGTCTTTCTTTCACAGGACTGTGGGGGGTGCCAATAATAACACTGGGGTATTAACTTGCATTCCTCTGGAAAGCCACTCTGATCCTGAGATTTACTATTTTGTATTATATTAATTTTAGAGAATTGTATTATTCTAACATCTAACATATGACATGAATAGTCACCCAAAACAGTAGTTGAGCTCCTCTTGCCCTTCATTGTATAATCCTCCTTTTACCTCCTAAGAGCCACCTGGCATGTCTTGACCCAGGCTTCTCCAAAAGTGGCCACTTCACCCATTTATCTTCACCTTGCCATCCAAAGAAAACAACCAACCACTCTCTTCTAACCAGGCAGGCCTGGTCTAGAGTCCTAATCCTATCTCGTACCAGCCATACCAGTCCCATTCCAACTCTCTATTTCCTTGTCTGTAACATGATAACATCAACATCTAACACATGGAGTTTGTAAAAATTAATGGTTTTATACCTTGCCTCACACACATAGGTGCTCAGAAAAATGGTAAATATATACATACACTTTATTTACTTTTCCACCGGAAAAGAAACTAACATTTAGCCATTCTCAATCCTGCCCTCTCTATATGCTAGAATTTCCAGGACTTCTTTATTCTCTGACCTACTTGCCATGCACATTCCTGACCTTGAGTGCTCGCCACCATCTTCTTTTCATGTTTCAACTCCAGAACTGCTAACTACAGTATTATGCTGGTAGTTACTAATTCGCGCTTCATAATCTGGGCTTTCTGACCTCAGCCTGCTTGGATCTCATTGCAATGTTTTATTTCTTTCCTACTAGATTAAAATCCTCATAGTAACTTTCCAAATTTTTCATACTTTTGAAGATCCCAATTGCATGCCCACCTTCCTTACTGTCAACAGGAAATCTGGCTTCCTGTTAGAAAGAAAATCACCACCATATTTTAAAAGACCATGGCAATATAAAGATTATTATAGTAATCTCTCTAAAGCATTCCTTTTAAAACTATGATTTCCTTCCTAAAAACTGTTCAGTGTCTATCCCCATATGCATAGCAAGATCCTGATCATAATTTGTGTAAGTTTTATTTCCCCTTTATAAGCCCTAAATTTTAACTAATCTGAACAAGAACCACAAATGCCTTCTTATTTCACCTTTGCACCTACACTATGACCATTTCTTTCTTCATTTTAAAATGTCATTCTCCTCTCTTTTTTATAAACCAAAATTCTGCCCATCATTCAGCATCTTAATTAAAATTCCATATGCTCAAAACTTTCTATGATTATTCCAGCTTACTTTTGTATTTTAAAACATGTGGCTCTTTGTTCTACTTTTAGGGTGCATTCCACTTTTTATTAGGTCATTTGTCTACATTTCGTCCCTCCACAGAGAGTATAAGCTCCTTAAGAGAATGCAACCAGGAGTTACACATGTTTTATAGATTCTTAAGAAGTCCTTGTTGAAGTAGTTCATAGGCAATGAAGAGGGCAGGTTTAGAGAACCCCATCAGCTCTTTTCCTCTCTCTGTCTTTGAAGTTTCTTTGAAGTTAAAGAAACCTCTACCCAGAGAAAAGCTCCCCAGGGAGACAGGTCAAATGAGGATCAGGTCCTGTGTGCTCCAGTGGGAATCTCTGGAACTAAGGAGACAAAGCAGAGAGGGAAGAGCGTACACTTTGAATGTGGTCCATAGGGCTTTGCTGTCTCCTATTACTAAAAGATGTCAATGACCCTATAACTTTATTTGGCACTAAGGAGTCATTTCAATCCCAATCTTCAGGTTTAGCAGATTTTAACTTTGGCAAGGAAAGTTCCCTCTGCCTGGAACTTGATATGCAGTGATCTCAGCTTCTGTGTCTTTACAAAATGAGAAATATAAATGTACTCGCCAATATGTACTCATAGCTTGCCCTTTTCCTTACAGACCTCGAGTTTAATACAGAAAGAATAGAGAGCCAGAAGGGCAAACAAAATAAGCATTGGTGCAAAATGTGTGTGTGTGTGTGTGTGTGTGTGTGTCACCCTCAATACCACCAGCAGCTAGGGAACAGGAATTTTTGCCTTTTCATTAGACCTCATCTTATGCATGGAGACCCTTTGAAACTAATATAAACTTCTACTACTAAGTTGGGCTAACCTTTCAATAAAAGTAAGGCTTAAGGATTTTTAAGCAAAATGCTATAAAATGTTGGGTCCCTCGTTGCATATCTTAGATGTAACATTAATCATAAATGTTTTCTCAAGAAACTTATCTCTATATAAAAGGGAGGCAAATCTGTGTATGTCTCTTATAAGTATCTCATTTACAACCAGAAATATGCCCCCTTACTCCTCTTTCTATGAAACAGTGAACTCTGCTGCTCAATGGGGCTGATCCTGGGGGCTGTGTAAGACTGCCAATTTCTTTTGCTCTTTAGCCTTCAGAGGCAGAGCTACAGTCACAATCTCTCTTTCACTTCCCCATCCTGCTGAGGCCCCTCCGTAATACTGTCATGTTTGAACATCTCTACAAATTGGATTCTCCTCTTTCTGAATTAGTTTATTCTACAACAATTCTATTATAAAAATCCTTCCTCATATGGAACCCAAACTTGCTTCCTTTTAACAATGACCCTCTCTTAGCTCTGTGGTTACGGTAACAGGCAAGTAAAATTCCTCTTTCACATGACATCCTTGAAGGCAGAAAGATGTTATATTCCTTCACAGGGTTTTATTTTTCCATCTGAACAGCCTCACTTCCTTCAGCCCATGTGGATATTATTTCAAGCCCCTCTCTATATTCCTTCTATTCTCTACATGTGTTTCTATTGATTCACATACATCAGGAAAAGAAAAAGTGTGCAAGCCACAAAAGTCCAACAGTTGTATAAATCATTTACTTCATTCTTAGTATACCCATCACAATGGGCAAGTGAAGGGAATTTGAAGAGAACAAATCTGGGTTCAATCCTGGCTCCCCTACGTGAGCCATGGATCGTATGCAAATCATTAGACTACTCTATACTTTTATTTTCTCCACTGCAAAATAAACAGATAATAATAACACCAAGTAGGTTTGCTCCAGGGCTTACATAGAATTCAACAAGGCATTGTGCTAAGAGCACTTAGCAGAGTTCCTCACAGCTAGCTACTCAGTGAGTATTCAATAAAAGAAGCCTTTTTGTTATTTGCTGCTGGACTAGATAAACAAATACGAAAAAAGTTAAGGAGAAATGGGAATTGAGAAGAGATAGAAATAGAATGTACATGTTTTAAAAATAGAGAATGCACATGTTTTAAATTAACTATAAAATGTAAAGTTTCTTAAAGTCCAGGCCAATTTTATGCATATTTCTATGGGCTGAGCTCATATCCAGTGTCTGGCATAGAAAGGGAGATTGGTAAGTATTTGTTGGATGAATGAACTTCAAATAGATCAAAATATACTATATTGAAATGAAGGAAAACATCATGAAGTTAGTCTTACAGTGACATTTCCTGTATGAAACATGATACAATATAAAAAGCTTAAATACAGCAGATGGTGAGCAATGCCTAAGTTGTATGGTAGATTTAGTAACCTGAAAGAAGCTTTTCTTCCCGCAGTTTTTATTCATTTGGGAACTGTTGGCTCCCAATTATATGCATATATTAAATTATCTTCTACATAAAATTATCAACAAGCATTTATTTTTAGTGACCATCTATGTTTAAGCATAGGTGCTAAGAATACAAAGTATAAATTATCATTTCTTCTCTAAGAGTTAACAATGGTTCATGAGGAATTAGCAATATAGTTGAGCAAATAATAAAGGCAAAAAATGATCACTAAAAATACAAAGAACTAAAATAATGATATAGTCAGTAGTAGTCAAACCGTTCTGGCAAATATCTCACATTATACCTAATAATCAATGGAACCATTTTCTTTTATACATGATTCAAGCCAGCCAAACTTGGAGGTTTATTGTTTCCACTCTAAGTGAAATGCCTAAAGAAGGAAAGGCATATGGGGAAACCTGAGAGTAATTGAATGAATTTTGAGACAATTTATACTATAGTTACTAAAGACATGGCACTCAGAGAAGTAGAGTTCTTCAGTGGTATTAAGTAAGCATGCTAGGTACTGGAGTGTGCTGAGGTCTTAGTTAAAGGAATTACATTTTCTTGTTGACCATGTTTTCAGTGTAATCTCTCTTTCTTTGGTTTCATCATTTGCATAATGAAGAGAGGAATAACTGTGTTGTCTAAATAACAGAATTGTCACGAGAATAATAGGAAATAGTAGAAGGACCTTTGAAAATCTTGCTATGCAAATGGAGGTTGATATCACTATTGTTAGAAGTACATTTTCCTGCCTGTCTAAAAAGGTCATGCCTGAGTAGGTTTAGTCTCACACCTCTCCCATGAGTCATCTTCACAAAAAAAAAAAAAAAGATCCATAGTCTTATTTTTTAATGACCTTAAATAAAGACCTACTGAATGGATCTGTACACCAAAAATAAATGTCTATTGTGGCAAATTGTTTGTTCAGCCTTAATATTTGATGCAGATTCTCATACAATCAACTTGGCTGCAGTAATCAATATTGATTATAAAAGTTGCTAAAATGAATAATTTGGATGGGTGATGTGAGAATTTACTTGTGCCACTACCTTTCCCAGCCTCTGGTAATCATCCTTTTCCTCTCTATCACCACGAGTTTAATTGTTTTGATTTTTAGATCCCACAAATAAGTGAGAACATGTGATGCTTGTCTTTCTGTGCCTGGTTTATTTCACTTAACATAATGACCTCCAGTCCATTTATGTCGCCGCAAATACAAAATTTCATTATTTTTTATGGTTAAATAGTATTTTATTATGTATATATACCACATTTTCTCTGTCCATTCATCTATTGATGGACACTTAGATTGATTCTATATCTTGGCTATTGTGAATATTGCTGCAATAAACACGGGAAAGCAGATATCTGTTAGACATACCAATTTCATTTCCTTTGGATATATACCCAGTAATGGAATTGATGGATCATATGGTAGTTCTATTTTTAGTTTTTTGCGGAACTTCTATACTGTTTTCCATAATGAGTATACTAACTTACATTCCCACCAACAGTGAATAAGAGCTCTTTGGTCAGGGGCAGTGGCTCACATCTGTAATCCTAACACTCTGGGAAACTAAGGTGGAAGGATTGCTTGAGCCCAAGAGTTTGAGACCAGCCTGGGCAACTAGTGAGACTGTATCTCAAAAAAGAAAAAAAAATAGAATCCCTTTTTCTCCATATCCTCACCAGCATTTGCTATTTTGTGTCTTTTTGATAATAGCCGTTCTAACTGGGATGAGATGATATCTTATTGTAATTTGATTTGCATTTCCCTAATGATTAGTAATGTTGAGCATGTTTTCATATGCCTCTTACCATTTGTATGTCTTCTTTTGAGAGAGTCTGTTCAGCTCATTTGCTCATTTTTTACCAAATTATTCATTTTGTGGGTTTTGTGTGTGTTGAGTTGTTTGAATTCTTTGTATAATTTGGATATTAATTCCTGTCCAATAAATAGTTAGTAAATATTTTCTCCTATTCTGCAGATTGTCTCTTCACTCTGTTTCCTTTGCTGTACAGAAGATTTTTGGTTTGATGTGATTCCATTTGTCTATTTTTGCTTTAGTTGCCTGTGTTTTTCCAGTCTTTTCCATAAAATCTTTGCCCAGACTAATGTAATAAAGCATTTCTTCTATGTTTTCCTTCTAGTAGTTTCATAGTTTCAGGTCTTACAGTTAAGTCTCAAATTTTGAGTTAAATTTTGTATATGGTGAAAGATAGGGGTCTAGTTTTATTTTTCTGCATAAGGATATCCAGTTTTCCTAGCACCATTAATTGAAGAGACTGTTCCTTTCCAATGAATGTTCTTGGTGCTTTTGTTGAAAATCATTTGGCTGTAAATATGTGGGTTTATTTTTGGATTCTGTATTCTGTTCCCTTGGTCTATGTGCCTGTTTTTATGCCTGCACCATCTGGTTTTTGTTACTATAGCTTTGTAATATGTTTTGAAATACATCAATTTGATGCCTCCAGCTTTGTCCTTTTTGTTCAGGATTGTTTTAGCTATTCAGGATCTTCTGTGGTTCTATACACATTTTAGAATTTTAAAATTTTTTCTGTAAAGAATGTCATTGATATTTTGATAGGGATTGCATTGAAACTGTATATTGCTTTGAATAGTATGGTCATTTTCACAATATTATCACGGAATTCATAATCATAAATTTCTTTCAATTCATGAACATGGGATGTCTTTCTGTGTCTTTGTTTCTTTGGTTTCTTTCATCAGTGTGTTTTATAGTTTTATTGTAGAGTTTTTTTTTTAACTTCTTTGATTAATTTTATTACTAGGTATATTTTTGTAGCTATTGTAAATGCTTTCTTGACTTCTTTTTTGCTAGTTCCTTATTGGTGTGTTGGAATGCTACTGATCTCTGTGTGCTGATTTTGTATGTTGAAACTTTATTGAATTAATTTATCAGCTCTAAGAGTTTTTGGAGCAGCTTTTAGGGATTTCTATATAAGGGTTTTCTTACATGTAAGGTTATGTTATATTATCTGCAAATAGGAATAATTTGATTTCCTCCTTTCCTGTGGATGTTCTTTATTTTCTTCTCATGCCTAATTGCTCCAGCTAAGACTCCCAGTACTATGTTGAATAAAGGTGATGAAAGTGGGCATCCTTGTCTTGTTCTAGATCTTAGAGAAAAAGTTTACAACTTTTCCCAATCTGTATGATGTTAGTTGTGGGTTTGCTGTTTCTGGCCTTTATTGTGTTGAGGTGCATTTCTTCTATACTTAACTGGTTGAGAGTTTTTATTATAAAGGATGTTGAATTTTATCAACTGTTTTTTGTCCTTCATTCTGTTGATGTAATGTATCATTTTTATGAATTTGCATAGGTTGAAGCATTCTTGCATTTCTGGGGTAAATTCCATTTGATCATGGTAAACAACCTTTTTAATGTGCTGCTGAAATTGGTTTGCTAGTATTTCGTTGAGAATTTTTGCATCTGTGTTTGCCAGGTATGTTGGCCTATAGTTTTCTTTTTTTGTTGTGTCCTTAGCTAATTTTGGTATCAGAGTGATAATGACTTTGTAGAATGAATTTGAAAAAATTACCTCCTCTTCAGTTTTCTGGAAGAGTTTGAGAAGAAGTCATATTAGTTCTTTAAATAGTTGGTATAATTCAGCAGTGAAGCCATTGAGATTATTTTTTAATGAGAGCATTTTCATTACAGATTCAATCTCATTACTCATAATTGGTCTGTTCAGGTTTTCTATTTCCTCTTGGTTTAATCTTGGTAGGTTGTATGTGTTCAGGAATATACCCACTTCCACTAGCTTTTCCAATTCTGTGGTGTATAGTTGTTCCCAGCAGTCTCTAATGATCCTTTGTTTTTCTGTGGTATCAGTTCTAATATTTTCTTTTTCATTTCTGATTTCACTTACTTACTTGGGTATTTTTTTATTGATTAGTCTAGCTAATGGTTTGTTGATTTTCTTTACCTTTTAAAAAAAGAACTTTTAATTTCATTGATCTTTTGTAATTTGTTGTCTTGATTTTATTTCAATTCTGATCCTCAGTATTTCTTTTTTTCTTTTAATTTTGGATTTGGTTTGTTTTTGCTTTTCCAATTTCTTGAGATGTACCATTAGGTTGTTTATTTGAAATATTTCTACTTTTTTGATATAGTTTTTTTTGCTAGAAACTTCCTCCTTAATATTGTTTTTGCTGTATCCCACAGGTTTTAGTATGAGGTGTTTCTATTTTTGTTTATTTCAAGAAATTTCTTAATCTTCTCCTTAATTTCTTCATTGACCCATTGGTCATTCAGGAGTATGTTGTTTAATCTCCATGTATTTGTATAATTTCCAAAGTTTCTCTTATTGTTGATTTCTACTTTTAGTTCAATGTGGTCAGAAAAGGTGCTTGATATGATTTCCACTTATTTGAATTTGTTGAGACTTGTTTTGCACACTAAGATATGGTCTATTCTGGAGAAGGTTCCATGTGCTGATGAAAAAAATATGTATTCTGCATCTGTTAGGTGAAATGTTCTGCAAATGTCTACTAGGTCCATTTTGTTTAAAGTGCAGCTTAAATCCTATGTTTTTTGTTTATGTTCTGTCTATATATCTTTCCAGTATTGAGAGTAGGATGTTGAAGTTCCCAACTATTATTGTATTAGAGTCTATCTCTCTCTTTAGATCTAATATTTTATTTAGACACCTGGGTGCTCTGATACTGGGTGCATATGTAATTGTTATATACTCACTGAATTTATCCATTTGTCATTACATAATGACCTTTATCTCTTTCTACAGTTTTTTACTTGAAGCCTGTTTGTTTCCGATATAGGTATATCAACCACTGCTCAATTTTGTTTTCTATTTGTGTGAAATGTCTTTTTTCATTCCTTCACTTTCAGTCTATAGGTGTCTTTACAGGTAAAGTGATTTTTCTGTAGGCTGCATATAAATGGGTTATTTTTAAAATCCATTCAGCCAGTCTGTATCTTTTAAGTGGAAATTTAATCCATGTACATTCAGGTTATTATTGATAGATGAAGACTTACTCCTGTCATTCTCTTAATTGTTTTTGGTTGTTCATGTGTATTCCTTGCTCCTTTCTTCCTCCCTATTGTTTGTCATTGCATTTTGGTGGTTTTCTTTAGTGATAAGGTTTAGTTCTTTCTTTTCTCTTTCCTTTTTGTGTATCTGCTCCACCAGTGAGTTTTATGCTTTTGTATTTTTTCATGATAATAATATCATCTGTTTACTTCCAGTTGTAGGACTCCCTTAAGAATTTCTTGTAAGACTGATCTAGCGGTAATGAATTCCTTTACTTTTTGCTGTCTGGAATAGACAATGGATTTTTTAAAAGAAGGTATGTCTTTATCTCAAAAGATAATTAGTAAAGGCAAAATAAATCTCCCTTCTGCTCAAATCTCTTGTCTGTTAGGCAACATCCTATTCCAGAGAAAAAATGGAATATATATAAATTTATAACCATATGCTGCACACTTTTCTGTACAAGTATTCAAAAGAAGTAAGCTAACTGGGTGTGGTGGCTCTTGCCTATAATCTTAGCGTTTTTGGAGGCTGAGATGAGAGACTTGCTTAAGCCAGGAATCCAAGACCAACCTGGGCAATATTGCAAGACCCTGTCTCTATTAAAAAATATATGTATATGTATATATTAGCTAGTCATAGTGGTGCATGCCTGTGGTCCTAGCTACTCATGATGGCACATGCATGTAGTCTTAGCTGAGGCAGGAGGCTCACTTGAGTCCATCCAGGAGTGCAGGGTTCCCATGAGCTATGATCACACCCCTGAACTGTAGCCTGGGCAACAAGTGAGACCCTGTCTCAAAATAAATAAATAAATAAATAAATAAATAAATAAATAAATAAATAAAAAGAAGAGGAAGGAAACCATTGTAACAGCTGGAGGCATTGTTTCTGTGTGTTCTATGTGTACCCTTAGCACTAATTTTCTATTTCTTCATAAGCATATATCATACCTTGCTTTAACCGTCATCTAATTTTCTACCACTAGATCTTAAGCTGTTTGAATTTAATGACTTCTTAATTGATTGTTGTATTCATATGCCAAGTATAGTGCACAGTATACAGAAGGTCCTTAATAAATTTTTTAGCTTGAAATATGTGTGGGTGAATGAATAAAGTCTATTACATAATTAAGCAAAAATTTTGAGAAGATGAAATTTTACATTTCAATGTGACTTGCAGTATCACTTTCAATAACCTGGACTTATAGTTTGATAAGGCAGAAGATACTGGAGAACAAGTGGAGTTGTTTTTAAAACGTGATGTGATATTTATGCAACATGTTGCAACAGAAATTTTCAACATCAACCAAAACATTAAATATTTTTAGTTTCTCAGCTGATATGGTCCATGAAAGCTCAGACTGTGTGCTTTCATTTGCTCACTTAGATAAATAAAACAGGTCTTTTTCCATTGAAACACATAGAACTAGACAAAAATTTCATTTCTGAAGAAAAAGAAAATGACCTGACCACCTTCCCTTTCTCCTCATCTGCTTTTTCAAGATCTTCCACATGGCAAATTTACAGGCACCAATCACAATTAAAATTGTGGAATTTTAAAATGTCTGTTACAGTTTATTTCAGCCTCTCTTTGCTTGAAAGACAATTATTCAAATGGGGGATAAAAAGTAAAGTGAAATGCAGATGAACAGTCAAAACCTAAATATTCATTTTAATCAAATGATCTGGATAATTTATTGGGCAAGTGACAGTAGCACTAAAATATTAGAGAAGTAAGACCTTGAATTTTGGAGTACCATTTCTTTAGTTATAGCAACAATTAGACATTTTTATCTTTAAAAATTGAATTGTCAAAGGTAAACTGAAATTTGCATGATCATCTGGTCATGGGTAGAAATGATCTTATTACATATCTAGGAGCTATTTTATCAAGATCACCATGAACATTTTGCAGTTTTGCTAACTTAGAAAGGCTTTTATAAGTGCGTTTAAGTAGGCAGAAGCATTAAAACAAAAATAAATGTATTAGCAAAAGGAGAGAAAGAACAAAATATGAAAATTTTGGAAGAAAGAATATGTAGGTGTTTTAAGTCCATTTTCAAAAAAGAACATGTGAGATCACTAGTGATTAGCAAACATCTTGCCATTGTAGCCATTACCAAAAAACAGCTGAAAGATTACTTGAGGAAAATTGAAAACGTACATTTCAGCAATCGCAGATATTAGGATTTTGAGGGTTATTTTGATGATTAACTATTGGCCAAGAAAATAAAAGTCATGAGGCAAACGACAAGCTAAATGAATATCTAAAATTGGCTGATGCCTTAGAAGTCAAACAGAAACCAGAGAAAATAGGTTTGAGGAAATAATCACTATCTCAAAAGGGGAAATGTGTAATATTAGAATGACCATCAAACAAAGAATTTCAATCCTCCTCTGAATAAGATGGAAAAAAAGAAATAAGGGCCCAGGGATCTTCTTTACATTCAGCTATGTAACTTGTAAACAAGAAACCTTGATTTTATGTTTAATGTTGTCAACATATTAAAGCATGTAAAAATAACATGGACAGCACTGATGATGTGTTAATATATAAAAAATTGGGTGTGGAAAATTGGACACATCGAAGACCCATGAAGGAAATTGAAAAGGGATCTCTTTTTAGAAAAAAAATATATATTTGTGAGTTTCTAACCTCTGGAGCCTTCGTGGAAGATGAGCAAGGTGTATGTTTCAAGAATATCATTCTAAAGGATTACAAATGCATTTTAAAAATGGCTTAAATGTGGCACAAAGGGTGGTAATGAAATCTTCATTACTATTGTGTAGTAAGTTTTACTGGAAATGGCTCAGGCTTCAGAACTAGGTATCTACAGTTTACTTGCTGCTCATTATTGTACAAATTGTACAAATAACCTATATGAACCTCAATTTCCTCATTTGTAAAATGGGGATGATAACAGTATTTGCTTTATATAGTTCTATCAGAAACTAATATGTGTGGAGTGACTAGTTCATCTAGTTAGCACTAAGCATTGCAGGGAAATAAACTTTATAAAGAGTTTGACATTATAGTTTTAAAACAAACTTTGACACTTTATATACTTAAATGAGGCTATTCTAGTTAAAACATGTGTCAGGAAAGTTATGGAATCTGACCAAGGTGTTAGGAAGAGACCCTTTACCCTGTTGGAAGGTTGGAGTCAACATAGAATAGTTGGGGGTAGTTAATAGAATAGATCTATATTACCATAACATCCCAATGAATTACATTCTTCAGTCAACTGGCTACAAGTCTATGTTTTTACACTCTAAGTAATAACTTCTCAAGCTACTTAATATTCCAAAGAATATGACTCTGAAGCATGGATCGAATCTTATAGGAGAATAAAACAGATGTCTAAGAGAAAATAGCTATTCTTATAAAGAGTACCTTCTTAATACATTTCAGAGTTTCTGCTATTAAAAGAGAGATGCTTGGTTTTTTTCCATCTGGTGTGTTGTATTAATGACTGGTGGACATTTTTCTACTATCATCCTGATACAATATGAATAATCAACAGGCATAGAAGTTAGTTTCACTGAAAGAAAAGGAATCCAAATTGTAAGGAGAATGGTACTATTATATTTATTTTCTATTGAATATGAGAATAAAATATTATAATATGAAAAAAATTACCATTGTATTTTGCTGCTGTAGAGAGAATTCTTTGAGAATCTGTCTGCATTTGCTCAAAAGCATTTTCAGAGCATTACACAGTGATCTTTATGGAACACAGAAGTGAGTGGCAATAGCCTGCTGTCCCATGATTTGATATTCCCACTGTTATGAACTGCTGCTCATCCCTTTCTTATAAGCAGAAGGGGATATCTGAAGTAGTCATCTCTCCAAAGATTACAATCTCAATAATACGCAGCCCACACAACCCTAGCTATATGTAAGTTCTGAAGAATAAATACCCTATTGAACCCACACATCAGTGATCTTCTGCAAGAAAATCTAATGAAAAAGAAAGTGTTGAGTATCCTTTTAGTATTAAGCCAATATCTTCAGTCATCTGTTTACAAATAGCATTGGCTGGGAGGCTGTGTCTTTTAGAAAAGGAGTTGTTTTGAATGAGAGTGTCAGACAGCATCATGTCTTATGGTTTAATGGTTCAACTTGGCCTCCTCTTGTATGACTCAAATCAAAGAAAATATTAGTAATACTGTGTTGTATACTTGAAATTTGCTGAAAGAGTTGATCTTAAGTATTCTCACCACACACGAAAAATCACAATGATAAGAGGTGATTGATATGTTAATTAGTTTGATTATGGTGATCATTTCACAACATGCTATACACCTTTAATATATACAATTTTTATTTGTCAACTGTACTGCAATGAAGCTGGAAAAATTAATAAATACATTACTCTATTAGACTGACCAAAAAAAGAAAAGAAAATGTTAATTCAGTTTTCATCTTGGTCAATTTCACAACCACTAGAAACAGACTTTACTTAGTGTTTATAATATGGCTCATCTTAAAGTAAGTTTGTGTATTTGGACTAAATTCTTAATCTTTGCCAGGAAAATATGATGATATCAGATATAAAACAACTTAGCCTCTCCAAAGAAGAGGCTAAAGCTAGGATAAACCTAGAATCAACCAGAGTTCTCAGAGTTAATTTGGAAAAGGTACATTCCCCATAGAAAGATAACCACGTTAAGCGTTCAGGCACAGATGACTGGGAAAACTGTTGGCATCACATGAACTTATGAGTCTTAACAAATCTAGCTTCGCTAATGTGGAAAAAAAATCAGGCACTGGCTATCTCAGAACTTTATACTAATTAAAGTGTTCTATGATGAGTTCTAGTATAGACAGGAAAGAGAACAGATGCATATTAATGCAGGAGATATCAATCTTATGTAAAATATTATTTTTCCCCACATGGGCAGACTTTTATACATAGACCAGCATTTATTCATTAATTTATTTAGTCATCCATCAAATATTCATTGACTTCCTATCATGCCTAGCTCCATGCTGCGTTTTGGAGATGCAGTGATACTCGTTTTTGTATAATGCCTATGCTTAAGAGCTTATAGGTAGGGGCAATAAAGACTCTGTTGTATTATACTTGATTATAGTGTATCATCCCAAGTACAGGAAAAAAATGTGTAAGAGAGGGTCTCATATAAAAAACCCTTTTTAGTAAGTCATTTTGTGGGTCTCAACTCACCTACAATAGAAACTGATTGTATCAAATAATCTATCCGTTCTTTTCTCTCAGCTCTCAAAATTTCATGTTTTATACCTCTATAGTGACCTTTAAAACTTCCTAAAAGGCCATTTTAAACTGCAAAAATTATTTGTTCTGATGTTTTAATCATAAAAATCCCTCTTTTTTTCCAAAGTTAGGTAACGTTTTGCAAAGCATTCCTCTATATTTTGTTATAAAGTCTGTTACTTGTATTAGTATAATTTTTCATTTTAGTTTAATGCTTGTCTTAAATTATTTATTTCAATTTTTAATTTTTTAATAAAGTTGATGCTTATATTACTATTTTAAAGCATTCTTTCAGTTTTAGAATTAAAGATTATCAGGGAAATGCAAATTAAAACCACAGTGAGATACTACCTTACCCCAATAAGAATTGTCATTATTAAAAAGTCAAAAAACAATAGATATTGGCACAGATATGATGCAAAGGGAACACTTATACACTGGTGGGAATGTTAGTTGGTGGGAATGTTAGTTAGTATAACCTCTATGGAAAACAGTATGGAAATTTCTCAAAGAACTAAAAGTAGATCTAACATTTGATCCAGCAATCCTACTGCTGGATATCTACCAAAAGGAAAATAAACCATAATATCGAAAACAGCTGCACTCATATGTTTTTTCCCAGCCCAAGTCATAATTCCAAAGATATAAAATCAACCTAAGTAGCCATCGACTGGTGAGTGGGTAACTACAATGTCATGGATTTATATCATGGAATACTACTCAGCCATAAAAAAGAACAAAATAATGTCTTTTACAGCAACTTGGATGGACCTGGAGGCCATTATCCTAAGTGAAATAACCCAGGAATGGAAAATCAAGTACAACATCTTCTCACTTATAAGTGGGAGCTAAGCTATGAGTTTACAAAGGCATACAGAGTGGTATAATGGGCATTGGAGACTCAGAAGGGATGAGGGTAGGAGGATGGTGAGGGATGAAAAAATCATCTATTGGGTACAATGTATGCTATTAGGGTGATGGGCACACTAAAAACCCAGATTTCATCACTACACAATTCATCCATGTCACCCTAAATCCTGTCCATTTTTACCACAAATCTATTGAAATAAAAAAAAAAACTTTTAATAAATAAATAAAATTAAAGATGAAGAATGTGTAGAAATCAATTCTCTGCCACAATTAACCTGGTTTTTAAGGGCGGCTTCATTAGATAGCTATTTCATTTCATTTCAATTGAGATTACATCTACTCCAGACACTATAATAGGCTCTGTTGTACAGCAATGAACAAGAAGATGATGTTTTATAATGAATTTTATACACTTCATTTTGTTGTTGTTGTTGTTGTTGTTGTTGTTGTTGTTGTTGTTGTTGAGGTAGAGTTTAGCTCTTGTTGCCCAGGCTGGAGTGCAATGGCATAATCTCGGCTCACTGCAACCTCCACCTCCCAGGTTCAAGAGATTCTCCTGCCTCAGCCTCTCGAGTAGCTGGGATTACAGGCATGTGCCACCACGCCCAGCTTATTTTTGATTTTGTTTTTGATTTTTAGTAGAGACGGAGTTTCGCCATGTTGGCCAGGATGGTCTTGAACTCCTGACCTCAGGTGATCCACCCGCCTCGGTCTCCCAAAGTGCTGGGATTACAGGCGTGAGCCACTGCACCAGACCTATACACTTCATATTAAAGCGTCCTAAAAGATTTTCTCCATCGAAGAGATTCTTGACTCTAAGGTGAATCATTGTATGTAGGCAAATATGTAAATAGACAAATAGTATAACACAACCACACACCCTGTTGCGAACCAACTGTGTGCCAGATAACTGTCCTACTATGGACCCTCAAAGCAACCACACACATAAACAAATCGCCAAGAGTGCTGAAACATTTTCTCATGGGTTTTTCAGCTACCTTCAGAACTTACCCAAATTGACACCAATTTGCCTGTTCTGTCTCACTGCTCTCTGCACTCATCTGTCTAAGTCTCAGATTCCCATTTGGCTCTCAATCTTGGCTTCTCATGCTTGGCTCAGGATCCCTAGCTGCTTGTAGACAAAATTTCCTGGCTCAAAGTTTCCTGGTCTCTCCCCCTTAGAGACTATTCTGGTATTTGCTCTGTGGCCTAAGCATCATAAGCCATGGATAAAAGACACTACTGACATCTGCTGTTGTCCCAGAATATAGAGACCACCAAAGCCAGTCCTCCAAAAGAAGCTAGACACCAAATATATCTGAGTCACCTCTGTTCCAGTACATAACAAGGCTGTATTACTTGGGTTCTTATCATCTTCTTACCAATCATTCTTTTTACTTGGCACATTGTGACCTAAAATACAGCACTCCTTGTCATCCCTCTAAATGCCTCCTGTGCTTTTGTACTTCTGAGCCTTTGTATATTGGAATGTTTTCTAGAACTTGTTTTAATTCTAGGAATTCCTTCAAATCAGCAAAGTCATGTCAGGTGTCATTTCCTCTTGGAAGCATTCTGACATTCCATGCGGAGTGAGAGAAACTCTCATCTGTGACCACGCGTTAGTTAATTCACTCTTCAGTAATTGTATCACTTTCTCAGCTGTTTTCCAAATATACTAAGAGTTCCATATTGTCTTAGGCAGCATCTTTTTCACCCCTGAATCCCTGGTGCCCAGAATAAAACTTGGAATGAAGGACATGCATCATTAAGTGTGGACTGAGCATGTGAATATATTCATAACAATGGCTGCTTGACCGTTAATGTCATTGTGTATGGGTCAGCGTCAGGTTCAGAAATAGTTTCATCTTTTCCATGTGTAATTACATTGTATTCTCCTGCCGCTGTTTGCTTTTCTCAGGTTTTTATTAGGAATAAATATTTATGTGAATTTTTTCCCTGTGGTGCTTGGGGATATTTGTTATATTTATCTTGGCATTTGTCCCTTCTGGTGGGACACCAGCATTCATTTAGTCAACACATTTTTATGTGTGGGAAGTGTTGTATAGAGCACCCCAAGCACTGTATCTTCATTGTTTAACTTACTGTTTATTATGAAAATACTTTCTTTCTACCACCTTACTTCCTTATGTCTTTCATCAGAGCCCTTCAAATTCAGTACAATCTTCATTGCTGGAGATTTATCACAAACTTCTGAAATTAGCCATCTTTAAATTAACTTGAAGTTTCTCAAGTTTATTCAGGTGGCAAAACTGTAAGAATGATGCATGCTGAGGTATTGAACTCCCATTTAAAGGAGAAGAAATTTTACTAACAGAAAACATGGCTATATTATGTGTGTACAATATAAAAATCACAGCACCAAATGCACATATCTTTGCAAAAGAAGCAAGTTGGTCAACACAATATAATTACTGAAGTTATTCTTTGCTTAATTCTATTTGCTGTGAAAAAACAGAATAGAAATATTCCACATACGATTCCTCAAGGATCTAGAACTAGAAATATCATTTGACCCAGCCATCCCATTACTGGGTATGTACCCAAAGGATTATAAATTATGCTGCTATAAAGGCACATGCACACGTATGTTTATTGCGGTGCTATTCACAATAGCAAAGACTTGGAACGAACCCAAATGTCCATCAATGATAGACAGGATTAAGAAAATATGGCACATATACACTATGGAATACTATGCAGCCATAAAAAAGGATGAGTTCATGTCCTTTGTAGGGACATGGATGAAGCTGGAAACAATCATTCTCAGCAAGCTATCACAAGGACAGAAAACCAAACACTGCATGTTCTCACTCATGGGGGGAATTGAACAATGAGAACACTTGGACACAGGAAGGGGAACATCACACACTGGGACCTGTAGTGGGGTGGGGAGAGGGGGGAGGGGGGAGGGATAACATTAGGAGAAATACCTAATGTAAATGACGAGTTAATGGGTGCAGCACACCAACATGGCCCATGTATACATATGTAACAAACCTGCACGTTGTGCACATGTACCCTAGAACTCGAAGTCTAATTTAAAAAAAGCAAAAAAAGAAATATTCCACAATAGTACATTTCAGACTGTGTAATTATGCCATGTCTTGAAAACTGGTTTTCAAACTGTTTCTGTAGAACACATGTATTTCTGCACTAAATTAAATAGCAGCAATATTTTCCTAATTTATAGCTAAAATTAATAAATATCATTTAGTCCATTTCCTGTTTTTCTCTCTTAATATTTTTCACTCAAATTCTTTATATGTCACCTGCTAGTAGATGGCAAAATTAATTTACAAGTAGTGATGAATGTCAATGCAAACCCTCCAATAACAATAATAATAATCACACTTAGTCATCACTTTTACATGTGCCAAGCACTATGTAAGAGCTTTACATATACTATATAATTTAGTTTTCCCAATAACACTAGAGAATATTATTTCCCTTTTGCAGTGAGGAAATTGAGGTTACAGAAGATAAATAACTTACCTAATGCCTCTTAGAGTCTATAATTCTTTATCACTCTTCTGCCTAGCTTTTCTGTTATCTTCTGGGAACATATTAAAGTAGGTAGAAGATAATATTCTTACCAAAACTCTTTGTGATGTTTGTGTGATGGAGAAGGTTAATCCAGAACTTGTAGGCCTATGTTCCATAGAGCTTTTGTTGTGTTTCTAGTTTTGGTAGTGAGTGGGTCTCTTTTTTTCCCATTTGTTTGGTTTTTTGCAACATATAAATTGAACTTGAATACTTCAAACAATGGTCTGCTGCCACAAGGGTTCTGTCATGTTAGCAAGGTTTTCCCAGTTAATTCTCAGTTTAGCTGACTTCTTTCAAGTTTTATATCCATCACTGGTAGGATGCTAACTTGAGTTGTTTTGTTCTAACACATGTGGCTTGAGTGAAAAGGAAGTACAGTTAGTGCTATATTGATTGGGACTGAATTCAGGGGCTATTATATTTTCCCTCTTCCAGAGAGAAATATAATTCTCTGAATTTATAGCCACCAGAGGGCTTTTATGAAACATGAAATTTTGTACATCATTTAGATAAATCATTAAGTTTTGTGCAGATCTATCACATGATTTGAGATGCTTTCCAGTGTATCTGGGTTCAGAAATCAATGAATGGATTATACTTATCAACACAGGTCATTCTTCATCTGTGACAGACAGTGTATGGAAAGTAGATTCACGTTAATTTTTAATAAGATTCACAAATAACATCCCTTTAGGGAACAGACAAGGATAAAGATGTGCAGGGTTTACTCTAAAATACATTAAAAACCCACATCAAATATACATCAAGGCAAATATCAAAGTACTCACAGGTATAGTCCAAATGATGGTACACAAGCACATCAATTTGCTTAAAATGTGTCCGCAGAGCTTTCACTCGGCACACACAGCTCACCGTCTGTGGCATCCCATTAATGGGCTGGTACAGCCTCTTTGGTAAGTGCACCTCCACAGGCCTGCTCCCTGCCTTCTCAGCATGATGTGGAAGGTCATGGTTATGAACAAATTCTCATGCACCTCCTCCATTCTGCAGTGCATTATGGTTTAGAGCACGCTTAGTGGCTTAACAACTGGCACACGTCCTTTTCAAAAAGATATTAATGAGAAAGTACTATATGATGACAAGGTACAACACAGAAGAACATTACTAAAACACTACTACTAGAAATACCATTTGACCCAGCCATCCCATTGCTGGACATATACCCAAAGGGTTATAAATCATGCTGCTGTAAAGACACATGAACATGTATGTTTATTGTGGCACTATGCGCAATAGCAAAGACTTGGAACCAACCCAAATGTCCATCAATGATAGACTGGATTAAGAAAATCTGGTACATATACACCATGGAATACTATGCAGCCATAAAAAAGGAAGAGTTCATGCCCTTTGTAGGGACATGGATGAAGCTGGAAACCATCATTCTCAGCAAACTATCGCAAGGACAGAAAACCAAATACCGCATGTTCTCACTCGTAGGTGGGAATTGAACAATGAGAATCAAACAACCTTTGATATTGATATTGTTTCTAATATCTGGTTGGAAAGAAAATGATATTACTCCCAAATTTGCATGGGGTGTACAGCACTCCTGTGACATTGTTTCTAATATCCAGGTAGGGAGAGGATAATATTACATCTAGTTTCACAGGGGGTGTACACCTCTGCAATGATATTGTTCCTAATCTTCAGGGGTTAGAGAATGACCTTACTCTTAGTATCACAGGGGCTGTACACCACTCCTGTGATATTGTTCCTGACATCTTGGGTGGGAGAGGTTGTTATTACTCCCAATATTGCAGGGGGTGT